>NC_000013.11:83146166-83299006 GCF_000001405.40 Homo sapiens | reverse complement strand
GCAATATGAAGCAATGAATTTCATGATTTACAAGATGTTAGAATGAAAAAAATTACAATAGCTTTTAAGTGTTTAAAAGGGAGGAGGAGTCATAGTTATCACATTTTAAATCAAAAGTGAACATGATTAATGTTAGCAAGGAAGGCATGTTGAAAACTGAGACAGGCTGAAAGGATGTGCTAAACAGTTAGTCATGTTGTAAATGCAATGGCAAAGGTTTTGAAGGTAATTAAAATTGCTACTTACATGGACATATAAATGATAAAGTGTAATTGCCTTATCGCTGATATGGAGAAAGATTTAGGGGTCTGGATAAAAGATTTAACCAGGCACAACATTCCCTCAAGCCAAAGCCTAATCCAAAGCCAGGGCTTAATTTTTTTCAATTTTATGAAGGCCTAGAAAGGTAAGAAAGCTGCCTACACACACACACACACACACACACACACACACACACACACACACAAACAAATGAAGTTAGCAGAAGTTGGTTCATGAGGTTTAATGAATGAAGCCATCTCTATAACATAAAATGCAAGTTGAGATAGAAAGTGCTGATACAGAAACTGCAACAAGTTATACAAAATATATGAGATAATGAATGAAGGTGGCTACACTAAATAACAGATTTTCAGTGTAGACAAAGCAGCCTTATATTGAAAGAAGATGCCATCTAAGACTTTCATAGTTAGAGAGGAAAACTCAGTGCCACACTTCAAAACTTCAAAAAGCAGGCTGATTCTCTTGTTAGGATCTAAAGCAGCTGGGGACTTAAAGTTGAATCCAATGCTTATTTACCATTTCAAAAATCCTACGGCTTTTATGAACTATGCTAAATCATGCTCATTTCGGCAGCACATATAATAAAATTGAAATGATACATAGATTAGTATGACCCCTGAGCAAGGATGATTCACAAATTAGTTCCATATTTTTACTAGAAATTACAAAGCAAGCAGCTAAAAACTTCACAATAGGATCAAAACCTCACATACCAATATTAAATCTGAGTTTAAATGGTCTAAATGCCTCTACTTAAAAGGCACAGAGTGGGGCCAAGCACGGTGGCTCATGTCTGTAATTCCAGCACTTTGGGAGGCCGAGGTGGGCGGATCACCTGAGGTCAGGAGTTCAAGACCAGCTTGGCCAACAAAGCGAAACCTTGCCTCTACTACAAATACATAAATTAGCAGGAGAATTGCATGAACCCGGGAGACAGAGGTTGCAGTGAGCCAAGATTGCGCCACTGCACTTGTCTGGGTAACAGAGCAAGACTCAATCTCAAAAAAAAAAAAAAAAAGAAAGAAAAAAGGCACACAGTGGCAAGCTGAATAAAAAAATAAGACCCATCCATCTGCTGTCTTCAAAAGACCAATTTCACAAGTAGTGACACCCATAAGCTCAAAGTAAAGGGGTGGAGAAAGATCTACCACATAAATGGAAAACAAAAGACAGCAGAGTCTCTAATTTTATATCACATACAACAGACTTTAAACCAACAGCAGTAAAATAAAGAATAAAAAAGAGTATTACATAATGATAAAGGTTCAATGTAAAAAGAAGACTTAACTTTCCTAAATATATACACTTCCAATACTGGAGCACCCAGATTTATAAAGGAAGAACTTCTAAACCTATGAAAGACTTGACAACCACACAAGCATAGTGGAAGACTTCAACACCTGACTGACAGTATTAGACAGGAAACTAGCAAAGAAATTCTGTACATAAATCCAACACTTGACAAATTGGGCAGAATAGACATCAATAGAATACTTCACCTGTTAACCACAGAATGTATGTTATTCTCTATTATACACAGAGCATACTTCAAGATTGACCGCATTACTTGATTTTAAAGCAAGTCTCAATAAATTCAAAAAATTTGAAATCATACCAACCATAGTCTCAGACAACAGTGAAGTAAAAATAGAAAACAGTACCAAAAATATCCCTGAAAAATACAAAATTACATGGAAATCAAACATCTTGCTTCTGAATGACTTCAAGGTAAAAAAACGTTAATCCAGAAATTAAAAAAAAAATCTTGGAAGTAAATGAAAAGAGAGACACAACACATCAAAATCTCTGGAATTCAGCAAAAGGATTGTCAAGAGAAAAGTTTACAGTGCTAAATACCTACCCAAAAAACTAGAAAAATCTCAAACTAATGATAAAAAATGACACAAAATAAGAATAAACTATCGCCAATGCTAGCAGCAGAAAATTAAACTGAGAGAACTGAATGAAATTGAAACCCAAAAATCCATACAAAAAATGAACAAAAGCAAAAGCCATTTTTAAAAGAATAAACAATATTGATAGACCACTAACTAAATTATCAAAGAAAAAGAACAGAGATCCACACAAGGATAATCAGAAACAACAAAGGTGGCATTACAAGCAATGCCACAGAAATGAAAATGTTCCTCAGAGACTGTTATGGACCCCTCTATGAACACAAATTAGAAAATCTAGAGAAAATGTATAAATTCCTAGAAACATACAATCTTCCAAGATTGAATTAAGAAGAAATTGAAACACTGAACAGACCAATATTGAGTTCTAAAATTCAATCAGTAATAAAAAAAAGTCAACCAAAAAAAAAAAAAAAAACAGACAAAGAGGGATTCACCGTCATATTCTAACAGATTTACAAAGAAGATCTGGCATCATCTATACTGAAACTATTCTAAAGAATTAAGGAGGAAGGACTTCTCTGTAATTCATTCTAGAAAGCAAGCATCACTCTGATACCAAAGCCTGGCAGTCACCCACAAAAATAAGAAAATTACAGGCAAGTATCTCTGATGAATATAGATACAAAAATTCTCTACAAAATAACTAGCAAATCAAATGCAAACAACATATCAAAACTTATTCACCAAGAACAAGTAGGCTTCATTCCTGGGTTGCAAAGTTGGTTTAACATACAGAAATCAATAAATATGATTCATCACATAAAAACAATTATAAACAAAAACCATATGATCATCTCAATAGACACAGAAAAAAAAGCTTTTAATAAATCCAACATTCCCTAATGATAAAAGCTCTCAACAGACTAAACATCCAAGAAACATTCCTTAAAATAATGAGCTGTCTATGACAAAACCACAGTCAACATCAGACTGAACAGGCAAAACTGGGAAGTAAGTGTTCCTATTGAAGACTGAAACAAGACAAGGATGTCCATCTCATCACTCCTATTTAAAATAGTACTGGATGTGCTAGCCACAGCAATCATGCAACAAAAATAAATAAAAGGCATTAAAATAGGAAGAGAAGAATTCAAAGTGTCTATGTTCATGGATGAAATGATTCTATAACTAGAAAACCCTGAAGTCTCCATCAAAAGACTCCTGAAACTGATAAACAAATTCAGTAAAGTTTCACGATATAAAACCAATGTATAAAAATTAGTAACTTTTCTATAAACCAATAACATTCAAACTGAGAGCCCAGTCAGGAACACAGTCTCATTTACAATAGCCATACACACACAAATAAAATACCTCAGAATACATCTAACCAAGGAGGTAGAATATTCTGTGAGGATAACTACAAAACACTCCTAAAAGAAATAAAAAATGACATAAACAAATCAGTATCATTAAAATGGTCAAACTACCCAAAGGAATCTACAGATACAAAGTTATCCTATCAAACTACCAACATCATTTTCACAAAACTGGAAAATACTATTTTAAAGTTTGTATGAAATCAAAAATTATCTCATATAGTCAATGCCATCCTAAGCAAAAAGAACAAAGTTGGAAGCATCACATTACCTGACTTCAAACTACACTACAAGGCAACAGTAACCCAAACAGCATGGTACTGGTACAAAAACAGACACATAGACCAATGGAACAGAATAGAGAACCCAGAAATAAAGCCACACATCTATGGCCATCTGATTTTTAAGAAAGCTAACAAAAAATAAGCAATGGGGAAAGTATTTTCTATTCGATAAGTGATGCTGGGTCAGCTGGCTAGCCACATGCAGAAGAATGAAACTAGAACCCTTCTTTTTACGATATACAACAATTAATTCAAGATAGATTAAAGATTTAAATGTAAGACCTTAAACTATAAGAATCCTATAAGAAAATCTAAGAAAAACACCATTCTGGACATAAGTCTTGAGAAAGAATTTATGACTAATTCCTCAAAACCAACTGCAACAAAAACAAAAATTGACAAGTGGGACCTAATTAAACTAAAGAGCCTCTGCACAGCAAGGGAAGCTATCAGTAGAGTAAGCAGACAACCTAGCAAAATGAAAAAGAAAATACTTGCAAAATACACATTCAACAAAGGTCTAATATCCACAATCCATAACGAACCAATAAGCAAAACCCAAATGACTCCATTAAAAAAATGGACTAAAAAAACTGAACAGACACTTTTCAAAGGAAGATAAACAAGTAGCCAACAAATATGAAAAAATGCTCCATGTCACTAATTATCAAAGAAACTCAATTCAAAACCACAATGAGATACCATGTCACACCAGTCAGAATAGCCATTACTACAAAGTCAAAAAACAATAGATGTTGGCAATGCTGTGGGGTAAAGGGAATGCTTATACACTGCCAGTGGGAAGGTAAATTAATCCAGCCATTTTGGAAAGCAGTTTGGAGATTTCTCAAAAAGTTAAAACTGCTATTTAACACAGCAATCCCATTACCAGGTATATAGTCAAAATAAAACACCTCTTTCTAATAAAAAGATTCTGCACTCATATGTTCGTCATAGCACTACTCACAATAACAAAGACATGGATTCAATCTTGATGCCAATAAACAGTGGATTGTGAAAAGCACATGTGGTACATACCACCATGGAATACTATGCAGCCATAAAAAAGAATGAGATCATATTCTTGCCAGCAACATGGATGCAGCTGGAGACCATTATCCTAAGCAAATTAACACAGGAAAAGAAAAGCAAATACTGCATGTTCTCATAAGTTGGAGCTAAAGATTGAATACTCATCTACATAAAGATGGGAACAATAGAAGCTGGGGACTAGTAGAGGAGGGAGGGGAAAGAGGGATAAAAAGGCTTGAAAAGCTATCATCTATTGAGTCCTATGCTCAGTACCTGGGTGACAGGGTCATTTGGACCCTGAACCTCAGCATTATGCAATATACTCAGGTGAACAACAAGTGCATGTATCCCCTCAATCTAAAATGTAATTTTTAAAAAAGGAATTATGATAAATCTACTCTGCCTGTGCTCTAAAATGGAAGAGCCATGTCTGGATAACAGCACATTGATCTACAGCATGGTTGACTAAATATTTTGAGACATGCGGCCCCAAATAAAAGATTCCTTTCAAAATATTATTGTTCATTCACATCACCTGGTCCCGTAAGAGCTCTGATGGAGATATACAAGGAGGTCAGTGCTGATTTCATGCTAGCTCACACCCCAGTTATTCCATAGTTCATGGATCAAGGAGTAATTTTGATGTTCAAGTTTTATTATAGAAAGACATTTCATATGACTATGGCTGCCATAGATAGTGATTCCTCTGACAGATTTAGGAAAAGTAAATCGAAAATTTTCTGGAACAGATTCACCATTCTAGATGCCATTAAGAACATTGGTGATTCATAGGTGTAGTTCAAAATATCAATATTGACAGGAGTTTGGAAGAAGTTGATTCCAATCTTCATGGAGGACTTTGGGGTGTTCAGACTTCAATGGAGAAAGTGACTGCAGTGTGGTGGAAATAGCAAGAGAACCGGAATTAGGAATTAGATCCTGAAAATGCGCCTGATTTGCTGCAATCTCATTATGAAACTTGAAATGACAAGGAGTTGCATATTAGGGGTGAGTAAAGAAAGTGATTTCTTGAGATGGAATCTAACCAATGAAGATTTTATGAACATTGTTAAAATGACAACAAAGCATTTAGAATATTACGTAAACTTCATTGATAAAGCAGTGCAGGGTTTGAGAGGATTGACTCCAATTTTGAAAGAAGTTCTACTCTGGGTAAAATGCTATCAAGTAGCAGTGCATGATACATTTTTCATGAAATGGAGAGTCAGTCAATGGGACAAACTTCATTGCTTTATTTTAAAAATTACCTCAGCCATTTCAACCTTCAGCAACCACCATCCTTATTAGACAGTAGTCATCAACATTGAGACAAGTCCTCCACCAACAAAAACTCAGGACTCACTGAAGACTCAGATGACCATGCTTGTTGGCATATTTATCCATAAAATAATGCTATTGCACATTTACTAGACTACAGTATAGTGTAAACCTAAGTTTTATATACACTGAGAAACAAAAAAAGTGTGGCTATCATTATTGCAATATTTGCTTTATTGCAATATTTGTTTTGTTGCTTTATCTGCAGTCATACTTCAGAGATTTTGCATCCAGAACCTGCAGTGTCTCTGAAGTATGACTGTAGTTTTCCATTTTCTTTGTCTTATTTCAAGAAGCTAACATTGAGAAATTCAAACTAAAGCAGTTCCTTTTTTATGTATATGTATATTTTACACCATAAAGAATCTCCAAAAGCATCAAACAGATAAATCTCAAAGACTACATGTTTTACCTGAAGATAATTACGTATTCAAAGTTTGAATACGAATTTTAAGGCCTAGTTTATGTCTGACAATGATGATGTTCACTAAGCACTTGGAGAGAAGAAGAAGGAATTGCAGGAAAATCACTACAAATTAGTGTTTATATTATCAGTATAGGACATATAATTCCTATATAAAAGAACAAAATTTGAGAAGAAATTCAAATAAGAGGTTTCCTCCATATTAGATGAACAGATAAGATTGCTCTATGCCCAGTGACAGGCTTATCTTCACAACGGTTTCATGATAATCACATGACGATTAGTTCTAGATTCTTGTGATTCTCTACAAAATTCTGTTACTCATCCACATCGTATTTTGTTAAGCAAAGTACATTATTTGCTTACTGTATTTTGACTAACAAAAATGTAAATCACCCAAGTTTTTGCATAATTGCAGAGGAGGAAGCACTTGACTTTGAATTTGGGGGATATATGCTGCCTATTTGACACAAATGTTGTTTAGTTTTTAAACTTAAGTTTCTTTGCTTTTCCATTGTGCTTAAATTTGTATAAATAATTGTTTTATAGACAGTGAAAGAATATAAGTGGCTGAGTAATTTTTTTCTTTTTTTTAGTCGTTCCAAATAATTATCTTCATTACAAACATTGTAATATATTGAAGGAAGAAAAAAAGTAATGGAAAAAAAGGAGGCCCCTGGTGCTACCTGAGTGTAATATGTAATAATAACTAACTGGATTATTTAGTCCAGCAACATTTAATACAATTATTGAAATAATTGGATATAGGTCTATCTTTTTAGTATTTGTATTCTATTTATTCGCTCTAATTTTTAATCTTCTGTTTCTACTTACCTATCTCTTTTGAATTGAGTTTCTTAGAATTTAATTTTAATGTATTTATTGTTTTAGTTATTAAGCTTATATATTTTTGTGATGATATAGGAATTTTGATATGCATTCATAACTTTTTACAGTCTACTTAGAGTTACTATTGTATCACTTCACTTAAAACAGGATACTTTCCATCATTCCATTTTCTATGGTCTTAAAAATGTATTAGCATAAGCTTGTTGCTGGATATATGTGTTTCAAATATTTTCTCTGTCTTTAAAATTCTGTTTTATATAACTTTGGTTGCTAATGTGATATTTTAATAGAGAATTTCTTAATTTTAATATGTCAGACTTCTAAATTATTTCATTCATAGAACAATTTGTTTTCTATTTAAGAATCATTTCTAACACAAATGTAATTGTTATATACTAATCTATTATCCACCACTCATTTCCTTCTTTTTTTCTTTCACATATACATCTACAGTCTGTAAGTCTGCTTATTATGCTTGACTTTGTGATGAAAGAAACGTCATTTTTTTTCATGTTTTTCATACAGATATTCTTTATTGAACTTTCATTGAGCCAGAACCCTTAATTGGAAAGAATGATGTTAACTTTGTTCTGCAAGTCTGGTTTGGTTTAAATAATTAGGCATATGTACTTTGTTCTGCTTTAAGACTCAATTCTGTTTCATTGTCTTTTTGTTTATCCTTGTATCAATGCCAAATCTCTGAAGGTATTTAATACATGTCTTAGAATAAGGTAAAGTATGTTCAACTACCATGTGCCTTTCCAAGATTGCCTTGGCTATATTTAGCTCTTTGTATTTCCATATTTATTTTAGAACCAACTTATGCATTTTTACAAAAACACTTGCTGGGATTTTAATTGTGGTTGCAATATATTTATATACAAATGTGGGGAAATTTTCAACTTTACATATTTATGTTCTAATCAATAAACAGAGTGTTTGCCTGTAGTTAATCAGGTATTCAGCAACTACTCTCAATAGCTTTATATCTTACTGTGTAGAGATCTTACCCAGATTTTATTAACTTTATTTTCAGTCATGTGGTAATTATAATGTTTCAGTCATGTGGTGATTTAAATGTCATTGCTTTAAGCTTTATTTTTGAATTGTTTATATTTGCTTAATAAAAATAAAATTAAATTTACAAAGTAACCTTAAATCCATTACACCTGTTAAGTTTTTAAAATTCTAGCAGCTTAATTGTAATCTTGTAAAGTTTACTTTCCTTAACTAACAATGGACAATTACAAACCTCTATTCATTCTATTACCCATGTCTAATGTGTTTGTTTTAATACCTGTATCATCATTCCAGTTGAAACCGCTTACGTACAATCTCAACTTATCGGCTGCACTAGGATAATTCTACACTCTCTTACTTATTCTAATTTCCCAGCAACATAGCAAACAGGCTTATTTTTTTCAAATCATCTTATTTTTTTGTTGTTTTAGTTTGAAATATTTAGTAGCATCTATTACTGTTTTCAGCTGAATATGTTTTCTTTCTGGGTGTGTCCCTGAACAAACTCACACCTGGCTGGATGAGTTGTAATGGCTTTGCCTTCACTACCCTACCAGGAGGGTTACCATACAATACACAAAATGCCCAGGTAAATTTGAATCTGAGGCAAACAGTAAATATTTTCATATATTATTCCATGGGCCATTATTGTATTTTAAAGTATTTGTTGCTTATCTAAAATAAAAGTGCAACTAGACAACAATTCTGCCCCAAAGTAATCTTATGCAGTCCAGTAACAAATCCAATGAACTCGCCCACTTGGAACCAATTATTGATGCAGAAATGGACCCGTGCTCTAAGATGGGACTAGATTCACCCTGGACATTTTTCTACATCTGTCTATACCATACATATTTTTGTTTTTCTCTGCGATTTCCTTCTGTAGCATGGTATAAACCTTGATTTGCTTGTGGACATCTTTATCTTATGAAAGAAAATAAAATAGAGGAAAGTTGACCTGGGAGATGGATATATATATATAGCGAGAAGGAGAGAGAGATGACTAATAGCTTCTGTGAGTGTCTTAATTTAGTTGTGGAAATAAAGACCAATCAAATGAGAACAAGCAAAAGTTATTTATTCTGAACTTGTAGCAAGGTAGTCAGCGCTTTCACTTGCATTTCAGCAGAGACTCAAAGGTAGGTAGAGAGGTGGGAAAGTTTTATAATGGGAAAAAGGGAAGGCTTCAGTATGCCCAAGTTGGAGGCTGTTGGCATAGGGAAATGTAGGCAGGCTAACTAATAGCAGAGAATTGTATTGGCTAGGGTATTCATTGGGGTGCATATTTAGATATCCTTAGTTGGTTTTAAGTTGGAAGCAGGCACAAAAAATAGGGAAGTTGCTAGTGACTCATGAAGTCTTGACTATTAGGAGCCTCTTATTACAGGGATTGTTGTTTGGCTTCCTAGACTGTCAGTAGAGATAGCAATATGGCTCTCTGCAAAACTTACTGCAGGCTGGCCTCCTGGGCTGGTGACTTTAAATAAAGGATTTCCTGGATAGGTAGATGCAGTTTATGGGGCAGAGTTCTATTTTTACATATGGTCTGGCTATTGTCCATTTCTGTATTCAATCTATCACAATAAGATATAAATCATAGACTTTTCAGTAATGTGAGTCTATACATTCTCCATACACTTAGTTTGAGGCGTGTTTAAGTCAGCTGCCTGAAGAACTCTGACTAGTATGAAACCTTCCCCCACATTGTTCTTAGCATAAAGAACAAATTATCAACATGCCCTGTGGTCCCTTGAATAATTAGCTTCTGTCTCTCTAGTCTATTCCAGCATCACACTATCAGCAACTTACAGGTATTCAACTGCCATATTGACTTTCATTCAATTCCTGTAATAAATAGAATATTTTCCTTCCTCAGGGATTTTGCTTTTCAACTTTGTATTTCCACATCTTCCCTTACCCAATTAATCATTATCATTTTGTAAGTTAACTCTTTCACTTTCTTGAGTTTTCAGAGTAAATCAGCTCTTCTTAAGAGAGCTTTTCACTGACCTTTAGGATAACTTCATATCCCTATTATACACTGTTTCATAAACTTAAACTTCTCTGATAAATACCGCATCATACTTCTAATCAAAATATAAACTGTTCAATTGATTATTAAATTATTAAATATCTATCCATCCTGCTAAGGGTAAGGCATTTTGACATTTTGTTAACTGCTACCCCTTACACATAACTTGGCCAAAGATGATGATTAATACATATTAATCATCATTAATTATTAATGTATTCATTAATATTCATTAAATAGTGTTCATTAATATTCATTAGTATTCATTAAATAAATGAATGTGAGTTTTTACATATATTTTCTTAAAGTACACAGATTAAATTATATGTCTCAAAATGTTTAACTGTATACTGGACCTCAGCAACTATAATTCCAATTAAGTATCAGACTATCAGCTGTAAAACACATATATTCCTTATATAGTAACTTGTTAAGTTGATAAAGTGGAGGGTTTTGATATAAATATGAAAAAATATTTAACAGAGAACTGAAGTATGTTCTGACTTTGGCCTCTGTGTAATATATGTATATACATGCTGTTACTCTATAAATCAGTTTATCCGGGGCTTCTCCTATATATTTAGCAGTACAACAAAATCTCATACTTTGTTTTCACATGTATATATTCAATTTTAAATTGAAATGTCTCTTCAGATTATCAAAAATGTCTGACATTGCATGGCTGTTTTCTATCACATTTCTGTAATACCTTATATTTTATTTTTGACAATTGACTAATTCCTGGATATTTTTCTAGCTTGTTACCAAAATTCAATAATTCAGCACTTTTTGATGTTACATTGAAAGAAGAAAATGGACAGAGAAAGAAAAAGAAGCAGAAATAAATAGATGAATCTACCATTTTTTAACTGAATTATGTTGAATTATAATTTACAATAGAGCCAGGGAATGTATCCAATTATGCATGTGGAGGAAGATAATATAAATTCTGCTTATGCAACTTCTTGTCTGTTATTTAGTTCTGTGGTATGAGACTTATGGTGCTGTCTTATGTCCTATAATTATTTATAATTTATAAACATAGTCGTTTTCATTAATCTAAGTTTAAGGAAACTGATGCTAGAGTGAGAAAAAGGACATCTTATACATTTCTCTTTTTTATATAATGGAGAAAAATCTATTCATTTGTATTAGAACTTGCACTGATCTTGACTCATGAGAAGTGATACTATGTCAAGTGGCCAAATAGTCACTAGTTATTGAATTTCTTAGTTCTTATCTTTAGTCATAGTTAAAGTAGTTCGTAAGCTAATTACAACAGAGATCAATTTATAGCAACAATTTTAATTTATATGAAGTTCTAGTCTTCTCTTGACAAAATTCCCTTTGATGGGTAAAAAGAAAAAAGTACATGATATTTTGCCACAGAAAAGTTAATTGCTCTCCAGTTCCAATTAGAATGACATATAATTTGAACTGAATTGCTTAATGTGTTGTTGTAAAAAACAAAAAGGCATATAACCTAAGGTGACCATGATTTAATAGTTCAGTGCCACAATCCACACAGAGAGCAGTAAAACTAGACATTTCCTGCCTGATGATGACTAGTGATGTCATTCAGGGTAAACTATTAATTTCTTTTGATGCCAAAGTTCAGGAAGCACCATGTGTTTTAATGTTGACTAATACTAGCTTTGGGGGAAGTTTCCTAATTAAAGGCTCAGACAGTGAGCCTTAACATTTAGCAATAATAATAATGACAGCTCTAAGAAAGGAGAGGAAAACATAAAATATAATTTCATTATTTTTCACAGTGATCTATTCTTAATTATTCTTACCTTAGCTAATTACAACATATACTCAAAGATGGTAATAAAAAATTAATCAGCAAGGGCTGTATAAAAAACCAGAAAACAATCAGCATAGGCTGACACAAAATGAGAAAATGAGAACTTGACCTGGAAATTGAAAGATAAAAGAAAACAAAAAACAGCAAGTCTTATTGAGTGAAAATGGCGAATGGAAAAACATAATAGCATATTGATCCTTAGTGACAGTTATAAAAATTGATCACATAAAGTTAGTTTTATAATCTGTATAATTGAACTTTTATGTTCACAAAAAAAGAATGGATAACACTTTATTTAAACTAATAATGGCAACTTTGTTTTATCTATCTATCTCTCTATCTATCTATCCATCTATATAATAGATGCATTTTCATATTATCTCCTTACATAAATAGTTCAAATCTAATAGTAAGTAAAACAGCTGGCAGAATAGAAGGAAGGATGAGGTAGAAATTTGCGGAAAAGGGACCACAGATGGAACTCCTAGACTTCTACTGTGCAAAGAGATAGGACAGATGGTCCTTTGAACCTCTCAGGCCCAGCTGCTCAGGACCTGATGGGGCAAGAGAGTAGCAGTGGGAAGGAAGAAGCCCTCATCTCTTCAGCTTGCTCTTGAAAGGCAGTGGCATGGATCTTTTCACGTAATCCATGGCAAAGAGTGTTGGCCCTGGATTAGCAACAAAGCTAGGGAGAGTATCCTAAAGAGCTTCCTCTGACTCAGTCACCTTTCCATCAGAGAGCATGTATGATGGAAGCTGGGACATGTCTCACTGGGTAAAGCTACTACCTAAGACAGGCATGGAGTCACACTGGGTAGAATGAGGGTGAAACAGTTCTAACATCATCAGAAACCAGAGGCAGAATTGGCAAAAGGGCAGAGAGGGCAAGAACAAGAGTGCTTGCTTGGTGGGCAAGCGGGCACATTTCTACGGTGAGAGGACTCAGACTACTGGCTGCTCAATCTTTCTCACTACCTTTCCCCCTGCAGACCATCACCATGTACATAATGAACATCTGAAAAGGCAATACTCAATAAAAAGTTGGGTCATCCCCAGGTCCTTTTGTCCAGGGCGGTGGGGCAGATTTGTCATGGCTTTCTGTGCTGTATTAACTGTTTCAAAAGCAAAGCTTAATTCAACTTTTAATTATAACAGCACTTTTATATTTTTAACATGTTTCAAATAATTTTTATCTCTGAAGAGATGTTATGAATCTGACAAAAATAATCCTTTATATATGTAGGGATAATTTTTGTGTTTTATAGAAAATAGACTATTACATCCAAAAATGCATTTCAACATTAAAAGATTATAGGTATAACAATGTTAAATGTTCCAATGCTGTCGTGTTATCTTTGGAGTTATTATCCATGAGAAAATTATTTTTAAAGTGGTCATTTACATAGGAAAACTCTAACTTTGAAAGTAATGAATAAATTTTTCTTTAACAAAAAATTGGAAATATTTTTTCTTTTAGTTTTATACTTTGTTAAGGAAATGAACATATACAAAGGTATGTAAACAATGTCAAAAAGTTTTGATGAGTTTATCAGTTAAATAACCTTTGAGCAACTTCAGATAAGTAGTCAACCTCCCAACTCATTGATAATTACTTTTTATTGGATTGAATAAGTTAAACCTATGGTTTTGTAAATCTTATTCAAAGGACATGGCACAAAAACAATCCTACTTTAACTTTTCCTGTGTTACCGTTTTCCTTGTTCAATGTTACTTTTCAAAGCAAACCCAAAGACAAATTTCAGGTTGTAATGTGTACAACAGAAATTAATGTAAGAAGTGTTTTTTTTAACATTTTTATTGAGCATATTTATATATGTTAGCTGAAAATGCTAAGATTGCCATAAAGCATCAGATTCATTATTCAAGCTGTAAACAGATATGTCTCATATTCCAGGAAGTTACCGCCTCTGGGTTAAAGAGTTAATTTTCAAATTGTATGGTTACTATATCAAATTAATGAGATAAGATAGAAGAACAAGAGAAGTGAAAATATTAGAATACAACATAGAAAAGTTTTGTTTGTGGCAGAGTAAGAAGGTGTGTGTATGAGATAGAGAACTGGTTTATAATATGTTGGGTTTCATATGTTTGTTTTTATTTTGTTCTGTTTGGTTTTAATGTGAGCCTTGGCGAAAATATTTCAAAAGCCTATGATATAAAGTGGTTTAAAAAGATTAATCATAGAAATTTCTCAGGGATTGTTCTTCAGAAATCAGATTTGTTTGCTTGTTCTTTTCTGGAGATTTTTTTTTTTTAAAGAATGTGGTTAATTTTGTGCCTATATTGTTGACAAGGTCAACTTCTTTGTAACAGGCCGGTAAGTTTGGTGACTTCTCACAGGACTTTAACCATTTTGTTTCTATGATACTAACTGTGTATTCACATTAGAAGAATAATGTATATTCAGATAACTATATACTTAAATTAGGTCCTCTTAGGAGAGAAGTTAAGAAAATTTGGTGTTTAGTTTTTAGCAATAAATGATAGGAAAGAGCTGGAAAATAGATTAACATTAAAAGGAAAAACTTATTCACATTTGGGAGTATGTTTTTATCTCAATGGTCCCACATTAGTCAAATGTCACCACAGTAGAAACACAGTGGCATGACATCCGCAGTGAAGAGCAGAGTGCCTTGTTGCAATGGTTCCAGTGGTTTAATTCTTACACAGTACACAGCTCTGGATTTTGTCTTTTGTTTAGAAAATGTGATAGGTAAACATTTTTCAATCACCTGAAATGTAGGTTCTAAGAATGGGATTATTTGGCTGTGATATGCCTTTATTTTTCCAAAGAAGGAGATAAAATATAATCTTTAATTATCTTCTTCAGAATCTATACATTGAGAATTATGTCAATATTTTAGTCCATCACCTGGAAAATCATTAATATTTTACAGCTTCTAAATATTATTATATTTTTATAATGTTTAAAATATTTTGATGCTTAATAGAACAAAGTAAACTTTAAACTCTGCAAACAATGTGGGCGAATAAGAAAACACATTTTGGAATGACGCAAATTCTTCTTAAGAGTAATTAAGTAATTAAAGACTAGAAAGCAAAAGAGATACAAAGAATAGTAGTAGAATAGAAAGAATATACAAGGCCACAAAAATATATTTGCTAAAAATCCTAGTTAGACAAGTGTGGTTGACTAAATAGCACCCCTGAAAACCAGAACTCTGCCAAAATAACTAATTAATGCTCGGTACAAATTATCTAATGAGTGCTCAGTACATTTCGAGGAAACCAAAGTCAATGTTTCTTCTGGTGAATCGCACTTTTGTAAGAAAGCTTTCTCCTTTAAGGGCTAGCTCTAAACATTGACTAGTAAAAATCGTAAGAGCCCTTCTTTGCGACCAGACAGGTCTATGTTCATGTTCTGTTCTATATAAAAAGAGGATAACAATATACTATTTGCCGTACTTGGGAGCTCAATTAAATGGTACATCTAGAAAGTCCCTAGTAAAGATACTGACATAAAGTAAAAACTTGTCTGCACCTGAAATATACTACTGCAACTTATTTATATTTCTAATGTTCCTGTTCTTTGCCATTTGACCCTTCAATAAATCAATATATTGTACAATATTCTGGCTAGGTTGTCAGTGTTACTCTCTTTTTTTTTTTCCAACAGTCTCAAGACAGGACATTATTACTAAAATAAACCTGATACAATTAGAACATTGTCAATTTCCTGTTTAGAGTAAAAAAGTAAACTAAAAATTAGGAATTTCTAGATAGAAATTGGATTAAAAGCATTCATCAAAGAAACTGAAGAGTCATACTGTTTTTATAAGATTATCCCCAGATTGCTATTTTTCATAAAATTTACCACTATAGATGCTGTTCTGGGAGCTCAAAAATGTGTGACTGATCTTTATGTGCAATATGGGAAATATAAAAAAAATGACTGGAAACTTAGACAGCTAAGTGAAAAGATCTTTTTTTTTCCTTGAAAGTTATAGAAAAGTTTCTCTTTTCTAGTTTGTGAAGACATTTGTACTCCCTTTTCTTTATTCATTTATTTTTGCCTCCCAACATGTGGCTTCACACTATGCTTGTTAGTGTAGAAAGATGTCTGATAAACCCTTTCTGGGGTGTGAGGGGAGAATCTTTAATTAAGAACAAAATATAAACAGTCTGTCTGTCAATATTTGAGGTGCACTATTCAAAAGAGTTCATAATTAGGTCCCTGGGGACCATGAAGCACTATGCCATTATTTTCCAAAAACATTATATTCACCTAATTTTTTTCTGTCCAGTTTTAGTATTTTTATTATTTTGCATGATGTAACACTGAACTTTTAACATTTTCAGCCCTTTCTAAACTTTGCCTTTTGTGTTTTCTCTTTTCATTGCAAGTGTTCCTCTGTGAACAAATGTATAATTCTCTCCAATTAGTAAACAAACAACTCTCCTCTACTTTCCTGGATTAAAGAGAAACCTGATAAACCTCAGCATAAAATACACATACATTTTATTCACAATTTCTGGTCACATTTAATACAGTTTAGTGATACAATCTTTGTTAAAATAGCATGTCGACATAGTCTGAATTGAACCACTTTCCTTTAAAAGCAGTTTATATTAGAAGTTCAAAAGCTGAAATAAAATTCAGGATGAAATTCTCATTTAAACTGTATTTTTCCCTTGGAGATTTTTTTTTTTTAATTGCATGGGTGTCACTGCCAATGTAATGCTTGAAAATGTTATTGCTTCTGGGAACAACAGTATAAATGCTGATGACCTGCAACTCCTCAAGCCATTACTCTAATGCAGCTGTTGCTAGTTCAGCAAAGTTTGAAAATATGTTTCTACTAATCCAATTCCACATTTGTTTACATCACATGCTTGGGGATATTGGCTGGGATAACACTTCTATGATTAACACATTTCTGTGTTCACAATGTAAAATTAGAGCCATCCAAAATATGTCCACTACACACATGAAGAATACACCACGTACTTTGTACACATTTTCCATATCAGTGTTTCTTAATTTTATTCCCTGAATGTGTAACATATTTTATTATGAGAATCATTTTTGTGGGATGCAAGTAAAATTGTCTTCAGAAAACCTCAACTGAAATACACAGTAAAAATTTGCTTCTCATTTTCTAGCTAAGAAATCTAATGATCTTTCCTCATCCTAATGTTCTCCAATTTTGTATAATATTTCTACCAACTAACATTTTCCACTTTCAGTGAATAACTTTTTCTGTCTGCCTTTCTCCCTCTTTATCTTTTTTTATTTCTCTATTTGTTAGCTGGCTAACTGACTTCTCAGACTTTGCATTCTTCCCTTCCTCCATCATAATTATTTGTATTCTCTGTATGGCTGTGTTCTATGACCATTTTATTACTACATCTCATGGTAATGTCCCACATTACCACAATGCTGATTTTCAACACAGAGCATCTTACTTCCCAAGGTTTATCATCATCTCTAGAAAATTTCTCAAATTCAAGTTCTGCATCCCCAAATCTCTTGTGATAATCTGTGTGATTTTATTTGCTAGGATCTTACTTTGCCATTTGGAGAGAAATCTGAGGGTCTCCTTTATATTTCACTTTCCTTAGACCTCACATAAATTATTAACCAACTTCTGCTAAACCTATCTTTTTTATTGGTGCCTATAATTTCAATTTTGTATTCCCACTGCAACCATCTTCAGTCAAGTCATCAGTTTTTTTCTCTTGTATGGTTGTTTTTATAGGCATATAATATACTTCTCTTCAAAATGTAATGGCAAAAATTATTTACTTCCTCTTCATTTCTCAAATTATGGACAGGCTTATTCTCTGCCACGCTCTTGGCTCTGAGTGAAAAAAGATTTTCCTGAGACATATGGTTATGGGAGAAAGTAGATTCCTAAAAAAATAAATAAATAAATAAAAACCAATTTTTGTTGTAAAACAAAAGGTACAGTAAATGAACCCTTAATAGGCAATTAGCAGTGGATAATATTGCTGTCCATTTCCTTGTCATGATGATTATGAAATGAAATTTAACTAAATTAATTAAACTAGACATCAAAACGACCAACTATATTTTCCTGACTTTGTAAGCCTTCTGAGGAATGAGTATGATCTTCAGTAATGACTAATATCGTGGGAAAAATGCAATGTGATATTTTATGTATCTGTGATTTTTTATGAAAAAAATATACAATGTACATATATGTGAAATTTTACCTCCTTAAAGATTTCTGCTTCTACCTTCTGAGAGCACTGACTTGAAGAAATATAGTTGGGAAGAAGTTGGGAAGATGTGAATAGCACATTCTTCCACTCTGGCTTCCCCATATGCATATAGTATTTGATATTAGTGATGCAGTACTTTTTGCTCCTTAGTTCAGCTAAAATCCAGGTTATTGTCTCATGACAGGAATAATTAGGCACGCAGACATATTGAAAGATGAGGAGGGTGGAATTTATTAAGCAAAAGGAAAGCTCTCAAGAAAAAGAGGGGTTCTGTAAGCAGGTTTCCACCTCACAAAGTCAAATACCAGACCACCAACATGAGCTGAAGAGGCTAAGCTCCTTGTGCATAAGGCACAAATTCCTGGTGACTTCACCCCATTCTTCCAGTGCACATGTGGGCTTTTAGTCTGAAGTGCTCCCCATTGATTTATTTCCTTTACTGCACATGTGTTAAGGGACGGAATGTTTCACCATGCACATGTTTAGGGAAGCTCCCTGTGCTCAATGACCTGGGGGATTAGAGCTTCTCCAGGGACCCTTCCTTATCTGCTTAGGCATTTGACTGTCTTCTGCCTCTATCATTCTCCACTCTGAAGAAGTACATCTAACTGCCATTAGGATAAGGATAAGGACAATGACCTGTCTTAACTGCTTCCTGCTGACGGAGTGCTGTTTCGGGAAAATGGCAGTCAGATCTCCCTCAGAGGCCTATCTAAGGGTCCCAGGTAAAAGGAGGTAATTATTAGAAGCTCTGGTTGCATGACTGTTTGGATTTCAATGGCCTAAACATGAGAAGAGACAAACCGATTTATTAGAAGAAATGTATCAAAATGAAACAAGGGGTGGTTGGGTAAGGATAGCTCAAAAATCCCTAGGCTGCCATCATGCCCAGATAACCTGGTGGCCGTAGTTATGCCTGCTAAGATTAGTGTCCATGGGGCTTGGCTTTGGTTAGCTCTCTTGGTCTTAATTTCTCAAAAAATAAACCTTTGCGTTATGGGCACCCTATTTATTCCTATCACCTGGCAGAATTTGTAGGATAACTGTCCAGAACTAGAATATTGGACCAGATTTTTACATTACCCATCCCTTTTTTTCTTCTGAGCGGCAGCCAGAGATCACTGGTTGGTTTACAGGAATAAACAGGGTTGGTCTAAAATGTAGGCCAAAAACTTAAAAACAATTAATGAGTCTAGAATTTAATGACAAATGCATAAGTTTAGAAACATAATTTCTCTCTCTTCAGTCCTCATTTTTGTTAAAAACAAATCATGATAGTACTGAGTTGTTTGTAAAATAAACTTTAGTCTTATACCTGGCCTATTTATTGGCATAAAGTGCAGAAAAAATAGTTATTTTTACATAGGCCTTTTAAATTGACTTTGATAGAAGTCTGTTCCACAAGGAACATCAGATAAGACCCTTTAAAGCCAAGCCCAGCAATGGGATTGTACCCTCAAATACTTTTGAGTTGGGTAAATTCCTCTCTTCTTGAGGTCCCACAAACATGGGGTGGCTGGGTCTGTTAGAGAGTCACATTCTTTATTCATACAGGTTAGGAACCCAGTACAGAGACTGTGTAGACAAGGTATGAGGCCACTTTTCTCTAGAGGCTTGTATTGGCTCTGCAAATCAAATTTGATTCCTTAAAGGGAAACACACCCTTCGAGCCAAAGCTTTGGTAAAACAACCAATTCCTCCAATTGTATGCTGTTGCCAAAGAAAATGAATTCTTACTGCACTGATGCAAATAACTATATTGCCATGAGTTCAGAATACTCACAGATAATTTCCAAATTCTAAAGGAAGCAGGCATAGACGAGCAAATATGCTCCAAATTTTGTTCACAGGAATATACTTTACTTGATTATTAAGTACTGTAAGTAACTCAAAATGAAAGTTACCTTGAGTCTGAAAAACAAAACAAAGAAGAGTAAAAAAAAAAAAAAAAAGATAATCTCAGGTTTTTAGTAGTTCAGTCCATTCAGTTAACTCTTGTTCTGCTTGATATTAATGAAAATTTCAGCTCTTCATGAGTCCTGCATGTTTTTCCTTTATTCCAATGTCAAAATCTCCAAAGTTATCAGAAACCTGTATTTGAGAGTACCTGTCAAAGTTCTATAGCTGATTATAAACCATCTTTTGAAGAGGATAAAAACAAGACAACAGTTGTCTGCAAAGAACAAAAATGTTCAAGGTAGTTATAGTCAAAAACACAATTGACAAAGAAATCTGTTTATCTCTGTGGTTTACAATAACTTAACACCCTTAATTGTGATTGATAGCATATACTCAGACATTAGAATTTTAGAAAACCTATACAATTTTGGAACATATATGAATATTACTTACTAAAATATAACCTGAAGGATATTAAACATCATTCTGGCAATCCCAAGTTCCTAAACATGTTAGGTAATCTTGTTTACCTCTTTTCTGTATGCTCCAGGCGTTCAGGATGCATTTGAAAGGGGAACAGACTGAAGATGAATGGCTACACATCTAGAAAGAGGGGAGCCAGGCATCCCTATTTCCTTTCTCTTCCTAGTGAATACCTAGAATACGTGAGGGAGAGAAGGAAAAAGCATCCTCTTTCTTTCTTCCATTCTTATATCCCTGAGTCTCAGCGACCTCAGCCCTGGTACCGTGGGTACCAATGTGGTTTTTCACCAATGCCAACAGAGGGACTAGTGGGTGCAATTATCCACATTTACCCATGTGCTGCCTTTCTCCCTGCTGTCAATAGCCTTCTAGTTTCCTAGACCTCATTTATGCCATGGATACTAGCATGACCTTTATCCATGAAATTGGAGACTTGGTTTAATCAGCAGGAATTAGCCATGCTCAGCTGTGTGTACCTTTTAACTTCTGTTGTTGTCCACCTCTGGATCCCTCAGATCCAGTTTTCTTTCTTAGGGCTTCGACCTGAGCTTGGAATTGAGTTTGGGACAAAAGAACTGCCTCAAGGGTGCATGGACTCATCAAGTCCCAGGTGTCTCTCATCAGACTGCAGCCAGCAGCCAGTGGTGTTGCTCCTTTGCTGCCTCCTCAAACATGGGAGAGAAAAGATGTCTTATGAATTGGTGTCCTGATCTAATAAGACACCTTCCAAAACAAAACAACAACAACAACAACAACAAAAAACCCTCCGGTATAGAGAAGAGGGCTGTGTTACTATGTTGGTGCAAGAGTAATCACGGTCCCTGCCATTCTTATTAATAAAAAAAACCACAACTACTTTCTTACCTACTCAACAACTCCTGACCTGGTGGGGAAAAGAAAAAAAAAAAAAAAGGCTTAAATGCAGCGCTGTATTAACTGCTGACAGGGTGGAGAAAATTAAAAAATAAGCAAACAAACAACCAAAAAAAAAAAAACAAAACAAAACTTAAGTACAGAGCTGCATTAATTGCTGACGGGTTGGAGGAAAAAAAAGATGCCTGGGGAAGAAATCTCTTATTCTTATGCAAATGAGTTTCTTCAACAGGAAGAGAAACTTTTAATTTCTGTCAGACTGAGCTTGATCCTTCAGCTGGGAAAGGGGAAGACACCTTAGACAGTGATGGGAAATGCTGGCCAGCGGGCCACGTGGAGCATGGGTCCCCAAGGCCATCCTGGGTTCTGGGCAGTGGCAGTGGCTGTGGTTCATTCCTGCTGTGTGTAGCCGTTGGATGCTGCATGTACATGTGGCAAGAAAAATCATGTTCCACAGCTGGAAAGGAAAGGAGCAGGGAGCTGTCCCTTGCCCACCCTTCCAGTGTATGCACCTGTGGCCATTGGGGTTGGGGTAGAACACCCCAAATATTGTAAAAGACAATGTCATTATATTCCCAAAAAAGGAGGAAAATGCCATAGAAAAGACTGGGTTGGATCAAGGCCAACATTCCCAACCCCTGAGAGGGACGGGGTAGGAGGGTGCAGTTTCCCCTGCCCTCAGAAAATGTCTGTGAGTAAGAAAGCTCAGAAACAAAAGAGAAAGAGATTTTGGGATCCATGTTTTACTCACCCTTCCTCATGTCCCCATATGGGCCACCTATTGTGGCTTCTGTAAGGGTATTTTTAGTAGGACTTGCTGTTATATTTCAGTTAAATATATAAAAGTGATAGCTTTTAATTATGGATTTTCTTTTGGGTTTTCTTCTGTATGAGTTAAACGGTCAAACCTAAATTCCCACATAAATCATACCATGTTTCAGTCTTAAAGATATTTAATGGTTATTCACTTTTACATTCAGTATGTATACTTAGTAAGCTATATAATGAATGAAAAAATGAGTATAAATAAAACTAAAATGAGTATATATAGATGTAATAAACTGAAATAAACTAAAAATAAAATACTATATATACATTCATTACTGTGTGTATATATGTATATACACTATATATTATATATAATTATATACACTATGAGTGTGTATATATAGATATGTATTTTTGATTTTTATTTTATTTTAGTGTATATATTACTAAAATCATTTTTATTTCATTTTATTTCATTTTACTATATACATAGACATTTAGTGTCTCATACATTTTAGTGTATATATAGACATTCAGTGTCTTATACTTTTAGTGTGTGTATATATACGCTAAATGTCTATATATACAATAAATGTGTGTGTGTGTGTGTGTGTGTTTATGTCTATATATATATATATAGTTAGTAATAGCTAACTAAGTGCAAAGCCCTGGTCTAGTCACTTTTTCTCTTTACAATAAGCTCAATGAGGGTAAAAATAATTTTAAGGCCCAATTACTGTGCAGAATTGAGTCCATAACTGGCCTTTGCCAATATTGAGATTATAGTATAATGGAAGAGACTAATACTAGTAAGAAATTTAAAGTGTTATGTTAAAGAGGCTCATAATGCAGTGAAACCTCTTTTAGGTGAAATTGACTCAGTCAAGGAGGATAGGAAAGTCTTCCCTGAAAATGAGATGGTGTATCATGCCGTGAGGATGCATATGTTTTAATTTAGATGAAAGGAAAGATAATTCCTGGGGCCATCTAGAATTGTGCTGGAGATTGGGAGACTGAAAGTGTACAGGCAGACTAGATAGCAGGTTAAGGGGGATGTCTACCTGACAAATGACAGTAGTTCAGACCAACAGAGGATGATGTGGAAAATTCTGAGGAGTAGTTGAGTGTGAAAGGTAATTTGGGGGCTCAGACAGCAGGGATTTCATGGGTGTCAAAAACACAGGTAGAAAAGCACCTCCCAATCTCCTTAACTCAGTCCTTAGGAACTGATAAATCAATGTCTCTTTCCTGTTAACTAGTTATTCTTTCTTACTTATCTCCATATCAATCAACTAATTTAAAGGTTTGCATTCCACTGTGAAATGTTTGCTTTGTGATATTCTCAGTTTTTCCTTAGAGCCTAATGTGCCTTATTCTTGGTAAGTGCTCAGTGTTCACTGAGCTAAATTGAATGTTATTTTATTTTTTATCAAAGCATCTTTATTGCTATTGGCCAAAAAGCATGGTTTGAAAGAATCATGATAATTGTTCTTTCATCTCTAGAGTCCTGTGGGTTATGACACAAATACAAATGAGGGGGAATCTATGACTATGAATACATGTTTTGATAAACTATCTAAGTCCCTAAGCTGTACTAGGACTTGGAATCAGCCTAAGGGCATTCAGCAAATTATCTAGACATGAGATGGCTTGACTGTCTTGAACCAATTAATTGTCCCTAAATGTTGCATAGTATGATTAAATCATATTAAGCCACAAGATAGTTGTTAGTTCTTCTTTTTACATATATTCAATTGATAGCAGTCCTGTGTTATCTTTAAAAGGATGCTTTCATAATTCATGTTTAATGATGTCCCACAATCTTTTACAAGGTTACTGAAGGAGATAGTAATGGAAGTACCAAATCTACAATTGGATAGTAGATGAGTTTATTTATTAAGTACTCAAGGCTAAAATTTTGATGAGAAAGAACATGGCAAGTTAAAACACCGTTCAAATTGTGATATTATTATTTCCTCTACATATATAGAAAGCCATTAATATCTAGAAAAAAATTATTACTATCTATGTTTTATCATGCCAGAAAAAAATAATAAATGTTTGATTTTTAAAATATACATTTGGTCCATATATTTAAATAGACTCTTTTAGGTCTTAAATTTTAGTAGTAGATCAAATATAATGCTGCCTGATACCAAAATAGCAGCTGACATATTACCTAGCATTTTCTTATTGTAGGATGGCAAAACTCCCAGAAATTAATATGATATCTTAGGTATTCTGGGCTTTTTCATAATTCACATAGAAAGCCCATGATTATTCCCTGCTAAATTGGAGATGAAGAAGAATAGTATTTATATAATGACTATATTTATATAATAACAGAATGAAGTGACTTTGAAATTGTAATTGAAAGACTCGGTATTGCAATTTAATAAGTTTTGTGAAGTGTTCAGAAATCAATATTTGAGATGTTTATTTGTTGTCTCTAAAATAGCTTTAAAATATATTTTATATTATTGATAGCAATAAGGGCAATTTCCCAAATGTTTGTATATTGTGTTAATTAATTATCAGTAACGAACTATAGCAGCCATATAAAAAGTTTTATACTGTGGCACAATTCTGATCTCCAAAATATGCCATGTTAAACCCAAGTTTCTAATCTGGCTATTAATTTTATGTTTTAAATTCTGTTTTTAAGCTAATTCTTAATAGCAAACAGATTATTTAACTGCATTTTTTTACTTCTGTTATATGCTTTAAACATGAAATGAAATATTTTGTTCTGCATGTAGGTAGATAATATCTACTTGCATGCATGTCAATAATAAATATTAGCTACCTATTTTCTAATGTGACACACTTAATTTTGTCAATCTGGTTTGATATCTTCACTGTTCAGTTAATTATTTTCCTGGAATCTTAACGTCTTAGACGTTTGATGAAAATGATTAATTTTTCCTTCAGTAACCCACAAACACAATAATATTTTCATCAATACTCAACTACAAATTTGAAATCTATGTTTTCTCTGATTTCTAAATGAGCAATAGAAGATAACAAGTTCTGATAGAATTCACAATCTCATAAATATCTTCACCATTTTTCCTAAATACGGAGCATCTGAATTTACTAGGTTGTTTCTTCTTCTCTCGATTTCTGGTTTTAAGCTCTCAAGCCATTCATGAGGAAAGAAATGGGGAGGGTCAAGGGATGGTGGTCACTTCCTAGACATTGAAGTCCAGCTGGCCTGAGGATACATCCTTTCTTGCCAATATTGGCTGTTTAAAATTGGGGAAACCTTCTTCATGTTTGACACTTCAGTATTTTCCTCTCTAAAATGCACAAAATATCTGGCTTGAAGTATTGTTGTGAGGATTAGAGGTAATTTATTTTCATATGCTTAGCAAAATGCTTGGCTAAGAGAAAGTGCTCACTAAATGCTTGTTTTCTGTGTGTGTTTGTTTTCTTAAGAAACTCTTCCACCTTGGAAATCACTCACAGTTTTATTGCCATTTTGGAGCAAATTTAATAATATATGTATATGATGAAAGAATCCAGTTTAACAGCTGTCTTCATTTTAAGCACAACTAATTGGGAAAGATCATGAATAATATTGCTAGTCAGAAAGCAGTGTGTTAATGCTGCTGTACGTATGCCATAGTGGCAGAATGGTATTTAGTATTCAGTGTGGAGAAGACAGCTGTGGGGATTGCTGAAAAAAGGTTTTTTTGAAGTTGCTGTTTCCATGTAAGGCAAGATAATTATTCCCAAGTCTTAAGTACCTTTGAAATATAATTTTTAAGAAAGCATTTATTATTTTGAATGCAAGAGCAAATGTACCTTATGTTCTTTTACTTTTTTAAAATATTAAAATAAACTATTATATACCTTATTGTCATTTCTTTAAAAAGATTTTGGACATTTGGTTGGATAAAATACCACAAAAATTAAAATAAAGAATTTTAAAAATGGAAATACTGATATAATAAACAATCACAATTATGATTCAGTTTCAAAAGTTGTTCTTGATTGAATTAATAATTTTTTTCATTTTCCCCCTTTAGTGCAAAAATAACTTTTCATTTCTAAAGGTTTTAAGTTGGGTTTCAAAATACAGTGACAAACTTCCCTGTTGGTCATTGAATTTGGGAGATCATCCAAACTGAAAACAAAGAATTATAGTTTAGACCTGATAAGTAAAATGAATGGAACAGTGTTCTGTTTGAAATAAAAACTAATCCCTTTGTTTTGCCTTTCAGAGCAGGAACATTTCATCATAATTCGATGTACTTTGACATATATTTTGAAATAACAATTTATGTTTCTTGAAATCAATATGCTCACTGAAATCATCATATGTTTTAAGAAAATGTTTTGAATTATATACAAATATGGTGAACTTGCTGTTTTATAATTTGTTAATGTTGACTATTTTTATATTTATTGTGTTTAAGAACATTGAAGTTTCAGAGCTCATTTTGGCTTTTTATTTTAAGGTTATATATTTGGAGAAAGGGAGAAGAGAAATCTGATTAAAGAGTCTGTAACATTGGCCCGGCAGGGTGGCTCATACCTGTAATCCCAGCACTTTGGGAGGCCGAGGCAGGCGGATCACAAGGTTAGGAGTTTGAGAGTGGCCCAGCCAATATGGTGAAACCCCATCTCTACCAAAAACACAAAAATTAGCGAGGCATGGTGGTATGTGCCTGTAGTCCCAGCTACTCAGGAGGCTGAGGCAGGAGAATCGCCTGAACCTGGGAGGTGGAGGTTGCAGTGAGCCGAGATCATGCCACTGCACTCCAGCCTGGGCCACAGAACGAGCATCTGTCTCAAAAAAAAAAAAAAAAAAAAAAAAAAAAAGTCTGTAACATGTTAGTCATCCTATGACTCCTTTACTCACTCAAAGTTCAATAATTATATTTTTAGTGTTTGTGTAAGTGTTCTTAATTCCTATGTTCATATTCACTTCCTCACACCAAATTGCATGGTCTTTAATTTTATCTCTATCAGTGGAATTTCTAATCATAGTGATTAGATATTGTTGACATGGTAATGTATCCAATAACTATCATTTTCATTTTCTCACTGAGTAAATCCATGAGCAATATAGATAGAATTTTTGCTATTTTTACTTTTTTATTTTTTTCTTTGTAAATTATCATTATTGAAATACAACATACATAAGATGTACTCATCTTAATTGTGGAGTACCATTTGTTTTGACAAATGCTTTTGATAAATAACATTTAATCACCATAACAATGAAGATATAGGATGTTTTCACTGTGACAAAACATTTACTTTGGAGTCAGTCCTCCACATCTCAGACTCAAGCCACCAAAGATCTGTTTCTTTGTCGTTAATTTATCATAATTTTGATTATTCTAAGATTTCATATAAATAGAATAAAGTAGTATTTGTTAATTTGCATAAGGATCCTTTGACTCAGAATAATGCTGCTGAGATTAATTCATGCTATTGAATATATCTCTAAGTTATTTTTTAAAAATTGCTTAGTTTTGCTCCATATTACAAATACATTGGATGATGTTCTCTCATTCATCAATTGATGAACATATGGTTTGCCTTTCCCCAGTTTGGGGCTATTATTATAAACATCTGCATTCAAGACATAGAGTAGCTATTTTTTTTTGGCCTGTTCTGAATTAATGATTCTTTATTTTTAAATGACAAAGCTTTTCTAGTAGTCTCATTTCACTTATTTTTTTTTCCAATTGACACAACAATTATACAGATGAATAGGGTACATTTTGGTGTTTTGATACACATGATCAAATTAAGGTATTTAGCATATTCATAAATATATCATTTCTTTGTGGTGATAACATGTAAAATACTCTCTTCTAGCTATTTTGAAATGTACAGTACAATATTATTAACAATAGTCACCCTACTGAGCAATAGAACACCAGAGCCTATTTGTCCTGTCTAACTGTAACTTTGTACCTGGTGACCAATCTCTTCCTCTCCCGTCCTGTCCTCTACCCTTCTCAGCTTCTCGTAATCACTGTTCTACTCACTCCTTCTATGAATTCAAGTTCTTTAGATTCCCTATATGAGTGGGATCATTTAGTATTTGTCTTTCTCTGTCTGGCTAACTTCATTCAACATAATGTCCTCCAAGTTTGTTCATGTTGCCAAAAATGAGGACTTTCATTCATTTTTATGGCTGAACAGTATTCCTTTGTGCATATTTACCACATTTTCTTTATCTATTGATATTTAGGTTGATTTAGTATCTTGGGTATTGTGAACAGTGCTGCAATGAACATGGAAATGCAGATATCTCTTTGACACACCGATATCATTTCCTTGGAATATGTAGCAGGATTGCTGCATCATATGGTAGTTCTATTTTTAATTTTAGAGAAACTTCCCTACTGTTTCTCATAATGGATGCACTAATTTACATTTCCACCAAAAGTGTACAAGAATTTATCTTTCTCCACATTTGTGCCAGTATTTGATTTGAGCAATTTTAATGGCACCTTTTTGAAGAACAGATTTTAATTTTAAGAACATATGTGTATCATTTTGAATAATTTCTCACACAGATTTGGAGGACATATTAATAATAGATGTATCTGAAAAAAATGGTCTTAGAATATATGAAAAAAGCTTACAACTAAATTATAAATCATCAATAAATCCATAACGCACCTTTACATTTTCTTAGCTCTTTCAAAGGGCAGAAGTTTCTTTTTTTGTATGCATGTAATATCATAAAACTTTGCGTATTTTAAGGTAACTAAACTTTTCTCCTTTGTCAGATTCTAGAAAGTATAGCTTCATCATTTTCATTTAGATTTATACACAATATCTTGTTAATTTTGTGTATTATAAGTAAAACAGTTGATACTCATTTTGCTCCAAGTGGATATTGATTTGTTCTAGCAATATTTGTTTAAAACTCTTACCTTAGTACTTAAAAGTTGACTATATTTTGTGGATCTATTTCTAGACCATTTATCCTGTTATACCGTCTTATGCATATGCTTATACCAAAAACATACTGCCTCGACTACTGAAACTTAATTTCAAGTCTTAAAATTGAGTAATTACTCCAACTTTTCCTTTTTTCCTAAAAGTTTTTGACGACTCTAGTTGTTTCTATTATAAGTTTACACATTACTTTTAGAATCAATTTGTCAATTTCTACAAAATTGAGTTGGAGCAGATATTACTGACATCTAAAATATAGATTTAATCTTGGAGAATGTTTTCCATAATGGTGGCATGAGAAGCTGCATGGAGCCTCTCCCCAACCAAATGACCATCACTACACATTAATGTAATAATAAAACAAGCTAAAATATCTGGAAATCCTGTTGTTCTACAGAAAATGAAGAAACATTTATTCAAGAAAGTACACTAAGTTGGGAAAGAGCTTCCGGAGTCTATGTCACTTGAGCCAAGACCTGTTCTCTTTTGCCACAGCTCAGTATGATGAACCTCCTCTATGTGTTGATGCAGACAAGAACAAAGGCCACACTCTGTACACAGGTTTCATTCTAGCACTATGACAAGTCCCTGGGAAAGACAGGCCACCAAGATTTATCACATTCCCCCAGTTTGAAATTTCAGAACCTTATAGCAAGAAAAAACAGCTGTGAATTCTGGGGCTCACTTCCTCTATCCAACCCCCGTTTTTTCCATGAAAGCTCTACCCCAGGCATGGTAGGCAAATAATACTGGAGTGCTAATTGCCCTCTCACATTCTCATTTTAAAGGTGGATGGCTCATGCCAGAATAGAAATGCCAAGAGTTAAGAGGCCACTGCCCCAATTCAGCATTCTTATAACAGGGTTGCCACTCTGAGATAAGCATGCCACTATCCCCGTGCTCAGCTCTGGAATGGTGGTACAGAGGTTTTGCTCAGGGGAGAGGCGAACATGAAAACCATAAGCTCCAAAGTCCTCAGTAAAGGAACTGTGTTTATTTGAAGATCATGGAGCAATTCAGACCTAAGCATGGTGTGGAAAATGATAAGTGTTTTGTTGATAAGTAATTAAAAGGAGGCTTATAGCAACATGAGATTTGGAAGCTAAACCTTAAACTGTTTAGACACTTACCAGAGACAAGCAGGGAAAGAAATAGATGAGAAGAGCCCTGCTGTCATCTGAAAGAGAATAGACCTAATGTTTATCTCTGCAAAGAGGATTGCATTTAATTGGATCAGCCTGTTGGGCAATTTATTTCCCCAGAGTATTATTATTATTATTAAAAACAATAGAACAATCAACTGAAAATTAGTTATGGCTATCAGTTGGGTGTGATAGCAACAAGAGAGACACCGCTACAAATAAATCAGACAAACAACCCAAAAGAGTTCTGCTAAAACCACTGTCATCCCAAGGAAATGTGTGCATGCTCAAGGCTGTGCCTTCTGAGGAAGAACATCAGAGGCTGCATAGCCTGGAGAAGTCACTGATATAGTCCCTCCAAGAAACTGAAAGTATAAACAGTCACCAAAAATAATATGTCTTGGAGAAGGGAGGGTCAATGTATAGAGTTACTACAAAGCAGTATTTAAAGGGCCAATTGTCAACACAAATTTATAACAAATACAAAAAGAAAAGTCCTGAAATGTATAAACCATACACAAGGAAAAAAATTAAATAGTCAACCATAACTATCACCGAGAAGTCTTAGTTGTCAAATTTAACAGACAAATGAATATCTCAGAAAGCTATTATATGTACGTTAACTAAAAAGAGCCATGCTTAAGGAAGTAAAGAAAGGTATAATGGCAATGTGCAATTAAATGGAGTATATTAACAGAGAGTTGGGAATGATAAAGAAGAACGAAATTAAAACTCCACAGTAATAAAATTTTAAAAAATAATATAATAAAAAATTATTAGAGAGGATTAATAGTAGAATGTACTTGTAGAAGAAAAAAACAGCAAAGATTAAGATAGATTAATAGAAACTAAACAGTCTTAACAACAAAGAGAAAAATAAACCAAGGAGTTTGAAACAGGGCCTTCGCAAAAATGTGGTACTTCATTAAGCACACTAATATAACTGTTCTTGGTGTTTCATGAAGAATGAACACAGCAATAGATCAGAAAAAGTATTCAAATGAATAAAGGCAGAAAATGCACATCTGATGAAAAACATTCATCGGCATACCTAAGAAGTTCAAACATCTCCAAGCAAGGCAAAAAGATGCAGACTCAGATATATCTGAGTGTGGAAATATTGAAAGTGAAAGGCAAAGAAAACATCTTGAAAGCACGAAGTCAAAAATCACTGATTGCATAAAAGTTAGCCCAATAAAATTTACAACTGACATCTCATCAGAAATAATGGAAGCTACAAAAGGTTTTAAGTTGACACACACAAAGTTCGGGGAAAAAAAGCAGAAAAACTATATTTCAAAAATGGGAGCAAAATAAAAACACAACCAAATTTTGTTGCCTGCAGATCTGCCTTCCAAAAAATACTTGATAAGATTATTTAGGCTAAAATAAAATGATTCAAGACTGATCAATTCCATATAAGAAAAAAAAAAGTAGCTCAACATTGGTAAAGGCAAGCCATTATGTAATTATGAAAGACAGTATGAAGGTGTATTTATTCCTTCTATCTTTAACCAATTTGGAAAGCAAATGTATAAAATAATTCGTTTGGAATTGTATTATTAAGTTTATAATAGATAGACATACAATGTATTTAGCAAAAACAGCACAAAGAAGGTGGTGGGAGTAAAACTGAATTGAAGTGAGGAAATGACAATGTTTGAGATATTGACTCAAATATGCCTGAAGAAATTAAGAGAAACAAAAAAAGTAAATATTAAAAGTAAATTTTAAAAAGCATTGTTTCTAATTTGAGCTTCTTTAAATGGCATACAATTTTATACAGTAGTAATCATAACAATGTAGTTTTGAATTTGCAATGAATATATAAGTTTTATATATATAAATAATTTCAGTATCAGAAGAGGGAAAAAGACATAGACCTATATAGGATTAACATTTTTGCATTTCATTAGAATTACATTAGCACAAAACTAAAACAGAAACTGATAATTTACAATGTATATTTTAAGCTAAAGATTAACCTCTAAGAAAAAGATTCAAACAAACATAGTGAAATATAATTTAAGAAGTTAAAATGACACAACAGGATATATTATTTTAAGAAATAATAAAGCAGTAAAATAATAGAGGAGCAAAAATGGTATAAAGGTACCACCAAGAGTCAACCCTGATGTAAACTGTGGACTTTGAGTGATAATAATATGTTTATGTAGATTCATCAATTTTAACAATTGTACCACTCTGGTGAAAGATATTTATAATGGCAGAGGTATGTTTGTGTGGGAGTATCAGGTATATGGGCATCTCTGTACCTTCCTCTTGATTTTGCAGTGAAACCTACAACCTCTATAAAAAATAAAGTCTTTTAAAATAAAATGAGGTGTATAGAAATCAAAAATAAAAATAGCAAACTAAACTCACATATATCAATAACATTAAATGCAAATGGTTCAAGAAATACAATAAAAAGTAAAGATTTTGAAATTGTTTTAAACAACAAATAAAAAACGGAATATGTTTCAACCTTGTGCTACAGGAGCCACACTTCAGATTTAATGATACAAAGATGTTCTAGGCAAAAGGATAGGAAAATGCATAATATGCAACATGGAGCCAAAAGAAACCAAGGCTGGGCACAATGGCTCATGCGTATAATCCATGCACTTTGGGAAGCTGAGGTGGATGGATCACATGAGCTCACCAGTTCTAGACCAGCTTGGGAAACATGTCAACACCCCGTCTCTACCAAAAACACAAATATTAGCCACGTATGGTGGTGTGCGCCTGTCGTTTCAGCTACTTGGGAGGCTGAGGTGTGGGGATCACTGGAGCCTGGGAGATGGAGGTTGCAGGGAGCCCAGATTGCATCACTGTGCTTCAGTCTGAGTGACAGAGCAAGACCCATTCTCAAATAAATAAATAAATAAATAAATAAATAAATAAATAAATAAGAAACCCAAGGAAATCTGGAATAGCTGTACTTACATAACAGCCTTAAAGATGAAGATTATTACTTGAGCAAAGAAAAACATCTTATAATGAAAAAAGATACATTTATCAACAAACCTACACATCCTTAGCAATAGAACTCCGTAATACATAAGGCAAAACTGACATAAATAAAGGGTGAAAAGGACAAGGCAACAATAGTAATTACAGACTTCAATAATAATACAGGCATACCTCCTTTTATAGAATTTGATTAATTGTGCATCACAGATGTTGCATTTATCAAAAATTGCTTTGTAGCAACCCCTGCATTAAGCAAGTCTATCAGAACCAGTTTTCCAACAGCACATGCTCATTTTCTACATATATTAGTCTGTTCTCACACTGCTAGTGAAGACATACCTGAGACTGGATAATTTATAAAGGAAAGAGGTTTAATTGACTCACAGCTCCACAGGGTGGAGGAGGCCTCAAAAAACTTACAATCATGGTGGAAGGGGAAGCAAACACATCTTTTCACGTGGTGATTGGAAAGAGAAGTGCCAAGCCAAAAGGGAGAAAAGATCCTTGTAAAACGATCAGCTCTTACGAGAATTCACTCACTATCATGAGAACAGTATGAGGGTAACTGCTCCCGTGATTAAATTACCCCCATCAAGTTCCTCCTGCAACATGTGGGGATTATTCAAGAGGACATTTCAGTGGGGACAAAGCCAAACCATATCATTCCACCTCTGGCCCTTTCAAATCACATGATCTCACATTTTAAAATACAATTATGCTCTTCCAACAGTCCCCCAAAATCTTAACTCATTCTAGCATTACATCAAAAGTTTAAGCCTTAATTCTCATCTAAGACAAGACATGTCCAAAATTCAATAGGGCAGTTATTAAATCTTAAAGTTACCAAATGATCTCCTTTGACTCCATGCCTCATATCCAGGTCATGCTGATGCAAGTGGTGGGCTCCCACAGTGTTGGGCAGTTCTGCCCTTGTGGTTTTGGAGGGTACAGACCACTCCCGGCTGGTTTCACAGCTGGTGTTGAGTAACTGCAGCTTTTCCATGCGCATGGTGCAAGCTTTTGATGGATATACCATTCTGGGGTCTGGAGGATAGTGGCCTTCTACTCACAGCTCCACTAGGCAGTACCCCAGTGGGGTCTCTGTGTGGGGACTGCAACCCCACATTTCCCTTGCACACTGCCTTAGCAGAGGTTCGCCAAGGGCCCCACCCTTGGACCAAATTTCTGCCTGGACAATCAGGTGTTACCATAAATTCTTTCATCTAGGCAGAGGTTCCCAAACCTCAATTCTTGTCTTCCGTGCACATGCAAACCCAGCACCTCATGGAAGCTGCCAAAGCTTGGGTCCTGCACCCTCTGAAGTAATGGCATTAGCTGCACCTTGGGCCCTTTTAGCCATGGCTATAGCTGAAGCAGATAGGATGCAGGGTGCCATGTGTTGAGGCTGCACAGAGTATGGTGGGGAGGCTCTGGATTTGGCTCACAAAACCATTTTTTTCCTCCTAGGTCTCTAGGCCTCTGATGGGAGGGGCTGCCATGAAGGTCTCTGATACGCCCGGGAGACATTTTCCCCATTGTCTTGGTGATTAACATTCGCCTCCTCATTACTTATAGAAATTTCTGCAGTCAGCTTGAATTTCTCCCCAGAAAGTGTTTTTTTTCCCCTATTGCATCATCAGGCTGCAAAGTTTCCAGACTTTTTTGCTCTGCGTTCTCTTGAACACTTTGCCACTTAGAAATTTCTTCCACCACATACCCTAAATCATCTCTCTCAAGTTCAAAGTTCCACAGATCTATAGGGTAGGGGCAAAATGCCACCATTCTATTTGCATAGCAAGAGTGACCTTTATTGCAGTTCCCAACAAGTTCCTCCTCTCCATCTGAGACCACCTCAGCCTGGAATTCATTGTCCATATCACTATAATCATTTTGGTCAAAGCCATTCAACAACTCTCTAGGAAGGCCTAACTTTCCTACATATTCCTTTCTTCTGAACCCTCCAAGTCTCTAGGGGTTCCAAACATTCCCATATTTTTCTGTCTTCTTCTGAGTCCAGTAAACTATTCCAACCTCTGCCTGTTACCAAGTTCCAAAATTGCTTCCACATTTTCAGATATTCTTATAGCAGCTCCCCACTCTATCAGTACTAATTTATTGTTTTAGTCTGTCCTCATGCTGCTAATATAGACATACCTGAGACTGGGTAATTGATAAAGGAAAGAGGTTTAATTGTCTTACAGTTGTTCAGCATGGCTGCAGAAGCCTCAGGAAACTGACAATCATGGCAGAAGGGGAAGCAAACACGTCCTATTTTACATGGCAACAGGAAGGAGAATTGCCTAGATGAAAGGGGGTAAAGCCCCTTATACAACCATCAGTTCTTGTGAGAACTCGCTCACTATCATGAAAACAGCATGAGGTAACTGCTCCCATGATTAAAGCTCTTACTGGGTTCTTCTCACAACACGTGGGGATTATGGGCACTACAGTTCAAGATGAGATTTGGGTGGCGATACAGCCAAACCATATCACTAGCTGTGTGACACATTTTGTAATTCTTGCAAAGTTCGAACTTTTAAATAATTGTATCTGTTATGATGATCTGTGATCAGTGATCTTTAATGTTACTACTGTAGTTGTTTTGGGGAGCCTCAAATCATGCCCATAAGTTTAATAACAAGGCAAGGTTGTCCCTGCTTTCACAAGTGCTAGCCAAAGTTTTGTAAGAGGTTCTAGCCAGGGCAACTCAGTAAAAACATGAAATCAAAGTCATCAAGATTGATAAGACATAAAATAGCTCTGTTTGCGGGTAACATAATCTTGGATATAGAGAATGTTAAATATCCACTAAAATTCTATTGGAATTAATACATGAGTTTAGGAAAGGTCACAAGGTACATGGTGAATATAAATAAGCCAACTACATTTCTACATGCAATTAACAATCTGAAAACAAATTAAGAAAACAATTTCATTTATAATAGCAGGACAAAGAATAAAGTAACTATGGATACATTTAACCAAAGAAGTGCAAAGCATATACTCCGGAAAGTACAAAACTTTGTGGAAAGAAATGCAAAAGATATTAGCCATCAAGGAAATGAAAATCAAAGCCAGAGTGAGATACCACCTCACACTCACTAAGATGGCTATTATCAAAAGAAAAGATAACTGTTACTGAGGAAGTGGATAAGTGGAAACACTATGCACTGTTGGTGGTAATACCAAATAATACAGTCACTTTGGAAAAATAAGTCTGGCAACAACTCGAAAGGCTAAACTTAAGTTAATATACCATCCAGCAATTCCACTCCTAGGTATATACCCAAGACTATTGGAAGAAGTTACCCATGACATTTGTACATGAATGATCATGGCAACAGCATTCCTAACAGCTAAGTGAATAAATACATAAAATGTGGTGTATCCATACAATTAAATAATTTTAAAAAAATAAAAAAATGAAGTACTGATATAAGAAACAACATGGATGAACCTTGAAAACATTGGTTAACAAAAATATCCGGTCACAAAAAAATCAAATATTGTATGATTTCATTTACATGAAATGTCCAGAATAGGCAAATTTATAGAGAAAGATAGAAATTTACTGCTTATTACTGAAATTAGAAAAGGGAGTAAGGGACAGTTAGGGGTTATGAAAAGTGTGGAGTTATTGCTAGTTAATGTGGGATGATAAAATGATTTATAATTAATTTTGATGGTATATGTACAAGTCTATGAAGATTTGGAAAACCATTGGATTGTACTTGTAGTTGTGTCAGTTCTATGGTATGGAAATATACCTCAATAAAGTTGTTAAAAAGGAGCCTTCTAATTCATCAAAATTGCATATGTCTTCATTTATAATCTTCCTCAGTTTCTTTCAGCAGTGTCCTGTAGTTTTCAATGTACAGGACTTGCACACATTTTGTTATTTGTGTGTGTGTGTGTTTCCATTGTCAATATTATTTCAACAGCAGATTTTGTTTCAATTTCCAATTATTAATTGCCAGCATATGGAAATGCAATTGACGTTTTAGTACTCACCTTTTACATTGAATATGTGCTCAATTTACCTTTCAGTAGCTTTTTTGCTTATTACTTTTTTCTACAGAATATATTATTATATGTAGACAAACTTTAAAAAATTATTGTAGATGTGTATGTAGTGCATTTATTTTCATTAACTTATTTCACTTTCAAGGACCTGCAGTACAAAACTGAATAGAATATAGAAAGCAGGCAAGTTGTCCATTTCTGAATTTTAGTGGAAAAGTTATAAACCTCTCAACGTTGTATTTTTAATCAAATTGGGGAAATTTCTTATTGGATCCATTAGAATCTGACTTTTAAGTTTCTTCAGGTGTGGTTAGAATAGACTACCTTTTTTAGTGTGGAAATAATATGAGATATACCAACTTTAGGATAAATCTAAGTTTATAGTAGTTCTCCCTCTCTTGTTTTGTTTTATGATTGACATATAATAATTGTATATAATTATGAGGTATTTGCCATATTTCAATATACGCATTTATTGTGTAAAAATCAAATAAGGGTAATTAGCATATCCATCATCTTAAACATTTATCATTTATTTGCAATGAGAACATTCAAAAAGCTCTCTTAAAGCTATTTTGAAATATACAAAAAGCTATTTAGTATTGTATGATTATGCAATACTAATATACAATATATAATATTAGTCACTCTATTTATCTTACTATGGAATAGAATGCCAGGACTTATTTTTCATATGTAACTGTAGCTTTGTCCTGATGACCAGTCTCTCCCCTTCCCCTTCTCCTCCCCAGCCTCTGTTAACCACTATTCTACTCTTTACTTCTTTGAATTCAGCTTATTTAGATTTCACATATAAATAAAATCATGTGGTATTTATCCCTCTATGCCTAGCTTATTTCACTTAACATAATGTCCTTCAGGTGCATTTATGTTGTCACAAATGACAGGATTTCATTTATTTTTGTGGCTGAATAGTATTCAATTGTGTAAATATACCATGTTTTCTTTATCTATTCACCTGTTGATGGACTCTTAGGTTGATTTCATATCTTTGCCAATGTAAAAAATGCCGCAATAAACATAGGAGTGAAAATATCTTTTCCACATAGTGATTTTCTTTCCTTTAGATAGCTACCAAGTAGTAGGATTGCTGGATCACATAGTAGTTCTATATTTAATTTTTTGAAGAAGCTATATAGTGTTTTCCATCATCATTATACTAAATTTTCATTCCTACAAGCAGGCAGTGAGTAAGGGATCCCTTTGTTAGTATTTCCTTTCCAGTATATGTTTCTTTTGATTTTTCAATAGTAGCCATTCTAACTAAAATGAGGTGATAACTCATTATAGTTTTGATATGCATTTTTCTAATGATCAGTGATATTGAGCATTTTTCTTTTCATATATCCATTGGCCATTTGTATGTCTTCTCTTAGATATATCTGAGTCTTTTGCCCATTTTTAACTGGATTATTTTGTGGTTGTTTAGTTGTTTTGTTGCTTATGTATTTTGAACATTAACTGCTTATCAGATATAAAGTTGACAAATATATTCTCCCATTCTACAGGTTGTCTCTTTGCTCTGTTGATTGTTTCATTTGCTGATATAATCCCATTTGTCCATATTTGCTTTTGTTGCATCTGCTTTTGGAGTTTTATCCAAAAAAATGTTTGCCTAGACCAATTTCATGGGGCTTTTCTACTATGTTTTCTTCCAATAGTTATGTAGTTTTTGACCTTACAGTTAGGTCTTTATTCAATTTTTGTTGACTTTCGTATGTGGTAAGAAAAAAGGCCTGATTTTATTTTTCTGCATGTGGATATCCAGTTTTCTCAGCATCATTTATTGAAAGGGCTTTTCTCTCTCCATTCTGTGTACTTAACACTTTTACCTAAACTCAGTTTTCTGTAGATGCATGGATATATTCACGGATTTTATATTGGCCTACGTTTCTGTTTCTATGCCAGTACCATGATGCTTTGGTTGTGATAGCTTTGTAGTATGTTTTAAAGTCAGGTAGTGTGATGGCACCAATTTTGTTATTATTGCTGAAAATGGCTTTGGCTATTTGGGGTCTTTTGTGGTTCCATATGTTTTTAGTTTTCATTTTCTATTTCTGTGAAGACTATCACTGGTACTTTGATAGGGATAGGATTAAAACTACAGATCATTTTGTTGACTATTTTATATAAATGGAACCATTCACATATGTGTGAATAAATCACCCATTTATTCTTCTGTGGTTGGCTTGTTTCACTGAGCATACTGTCCTCACATTTCATCCATGTTGTAGCATATGGCACAATTCTTTCATTTTAAGGCTTAATAATATTTCATTGTACATATATGTATACATATACTACGTTTCTTTATCCAGTCACCCAGCAATGGACATTCAGATTGTTTCTATATCTTTGTTGTTGGCAATAATCCTGCAATAAACATAGGAGTACAGATAACTCTTTGAGATCCTGATTTTAATTACTTTGGATTATTGCCCATAAGTGAGATTGCTGGGTCATAAAGTAGTTTTATTTATAGATATTTTAGGAAACTCTAAACTATTTTCTATAGGGGCTGTGCCATTTTACGTTTCCAAAAACCATACAGGGGAGTCCCAATTTCAATATATCCTCATAAAAACTTTCTCTCTCTCTTTCTCTCTTATTTTAAAATAACAGCTATCCTAACAAGTGGTAGGTGATATCTCATTGTAGTTTTGATTTGCATTACCCTGATGATTAGTGAGGCTGAGCATCTTTTCATACTCATGCTGCCCATTTGTATGTCTTGTTTAAGACTTCTATTTAAGTCCTTTGCCCATTTAAAAAAAAATGTATGGTTTATTTTAATGTTGATTTAGAAAAGTTCTTTATTTTAGATAACAACTACTTATCAGATATATGGTTTACAAATATTTTCTACCATTCCATGTGATCCCTTTTCACTATTTTGATTGTTTCATTTGCTGTGCGGAAGCTTTCTATTTTGATGTACTCTTATTTTTGCTTTTGTTGCCTGTGCTTTCAGTATTGTATTGAAAAAATCATGGCCAAGACCAACATGAAGAAGATTCTTTCCTATATATTTTTTACGAGTTTTATATTTTAAGGTCACGTGTGTAATTAATCCTTTTTGAATTGATTTTTGAGTATAGTAAAGTGTCCACTATCATTCTTTTTCATGTAGACATCAAAATTTTCCAACATCATTCATTGTAGAAACTATCTTTTCTCCATTCATTGTGTATCCTTGGCACCCTTGGCAAAGGTCAGTTGACTGTATTTGTGTGGGTTTATATTTCAAAATAATGGAGTGTAATGCCTCTGGCTTTGTTCTTTTTTTCTTTTTTTTTTGCTCTCCAGGGTCATTTTTGGTTTTATATAAGCTTTATAATTTTTTCTCTTTCTGTAAAATGTGGCACTGGAATTTTGATGCAGATTTCTTTGAATGTCTAGATCACTTTAGGATGTTTGGACATTTTAAAAATATTTAATCTCATAATCTATAAACACATAATATCTTTCCATTTATGTGTCTTTAATCTTTCATCAATGTTTTAGATTTTTCAGTATACAAGTATTTCACCTTCTTAGTTAAGTTTAATCACAAGTATTTTATTATTTTGATGCTGTAGTGAATGAAATTGTTTCCTGAGTTTCCTTTCTGGATAGTTCATTGTTGGGATATATAAACTCAACTAATTCTTGTATGCTGATTTTGTACTCTGTAGTTTTACTGAATTTGTTCATTACTTCTAACAAATAAAAGACATACAAATTGAAAAAGAAGTAAAATTATGGATGTGTTCAGATGACACTATCACATATTTAGAAAACCCTAAGCACTCCATAGAATAGCCTTAAATTTAAGGCTAATTCACTATTACTATAAGAGTGACCTTTTTCAGTTCTCTACTAAAACCTCCAGGTTTTAACACAATCTCTCCATGATGCCTAGTCAGAACTTGCTTGTCTCCCTGTCCTACGTGGTATCTGGGATTTTTTTTAGCTTTTCCTCACTGCTATTTATTCTCCCCCCATTGCTGCTTTTGACTGGCTTCATAAAATACCACCTTACACAGTTCAGTTTACTATTAGCCAGAGACCCAAGCTGTCCTCTATGCAGATGTCTCAAGTTCTTTCTCAGAGTGGCTCCCTTCTGTCTGGCATTCTGCCTTCAATTTCCAGCCACCTTAGATCCCTTGAATTCTGACCTCTGCACCTCCTCATCAAAACTATGTTTCTCTGCTCCATTCCCCATCTGTGCACCGAAATCTAAAGAGTGTCCTCAGAAAGAAAGCCAGAGTGACTTTATAACTAACCCTGTTCAATTATTCTTTTTATGGATCTCATAACTGACCTTTTCTCCCTAATGTGTGTAAAATATTGTTTCATATATTTTCTCCAGGATTTTTGTTGTTGTTGTTGTTGTTGTTGCATATGGTGGGAGGACAGTCTAGACTTCATTATTCTATAATGGCTGGAAACAAAAGTATTTTCCATACCCAAAGTTTGTTGTCTAAAGATTCTTATAACTTTTTCCAGATATGTTTATATAAAAGTATAAAAAGGATTCACCCTCAAGTCAAAATAGTGACAAATGTAAAATTTATTAGAGGAAATGATAATTTCATAATCTATCCCTGAAGTTATTTTATGTACTGAGTCTTACACAATGTTGTACAAATAGTTGTTAATCTTCAAATATACATAGAGTTATTATTAGATTGTTCAATATGATAAGCAGCAATTCATAGGATAGCACATACCTTTTCAAGATTGAAAAAATGTTCAAACACAAGAAGCATGAAGAAGTTAAATAAAGCCCTCATAATAAAGCGAGGAGTTATATATGATTCTTATTTCAATTGTGATAAAGCAGACATGCTTATGTGTTATACATGCACAATCATATGCATGAAATACTTCACTCATTAATATCCTGTGCAAAAAATAATAAATAATGAGAGTTCTTAGTTCTCTATCATCATTTTTTTAATTTGCTCAGTAAAGCTAGTCAACTGGTTATTATTCTATCAACACATTTTACTGTCAATCTGCAACATTTCTCCAATGACACTGATTTTCAAACAAAACCATCTGCATTTCCTTCTACCAGGATGCATATTTTATCAGAATTATTTTAGTATAAAGCTTCAATAATAACAAAGCTTAGCATGACAAAGCTGTAGAATTTAAGCTACTTTTAATATTTTAACATACAAACTCTAAAATCTCTAAAAAATTGATTAATAAACAATAATCTCCAGTTGTAAAATAATTACATTTGCAAGTTTAGGCTAATCATAATTTTAACTATAATATATACAAATCTAGTTTTATGCATTCATATAAATGTCTACGGTGAAATAGAATTTTAGCCATAATTCAAGGCAACTATGACTATATTCAGTTTATCACCTACATGTTATAATTATTTAGTAAAATTAATCCTTTTTTGACTTTTAAAAATTTAAAGTACAGTACTATAGTTATTTTAAATATATATCCGGCATGTAAATAGAATCATGAGAACAGGTATGGGTCTCCTATTCCCCACTACATTCTAAGGAATGCACAGACATCTAGGAGGAGTATATTTCTAGATCAGATTCTAGAGAGGATCAAATTTCTACAGAGGACTCTGACTTTTGGACCAAGTGACTTTTAAGATGCATGACTAGAGGGCCACCACTCTATCTCCTGGCTTCATCAGAGGCTGGAATCTAAAAGGAATACAGAGGACATCAGTAGATTGTGACAGGTTCCATCTTCTCCTTCATGGACAGGGTAGCATAGCTCCTTGCATGACATGTTTGGAGGGCAATGGTTCAAATTTTGTGATTGCTGTTACTCCATGTCAGTGGCATGATCTACAATCAACAGTCACTGTGGAGGGAGCCCTAGCTTCTCTTGCAATATGATTCTGGGAAGAAAGTCTAAGACTGTGATTGTGTCTTATGTGACATGGTTAGTGGGTGAACTGATTCTTTTTTTCTTTTTGTTAACTTTTATTTTAGGTTTCACGGTATATGTGAAGATTTGTTACACAGGTAAGCTCATATCACAGGTCTTTGCTGCACATATTATTTCATAATTCATGTATTAAGCCCAGGACCCAAAAGTTATCTTTTCTGCTCCTCTCCCTCCTCCCACCCTTCACCCTCAAATAGACCCCAGGTCTGTTGTTTTCTTCTTTGTGTTCATAAGTTTTTATCATTTAGTTCCAACTTGTAAGTGAGAACACGTGGTATTTGCTTTTTTGTTTCTGTGTTAGTTTGCTAAGTATAATAGCCTTTGGCTCCATCCATGTTCCCACAAAAGACATGATCTTGTTACTTTTATGGCTGTATAGTATTCCATGCAGTTTATGTAACACATTTTCTTAATCCAATCTGTCATTGATGCACATTTAGGTTGATTCCACGACTTTGCTATTGTGAATAGTACTGCAATGAACATATGAGTATGTATGACTTTATGGTAGAATAATTTATATTCTTTCAGGTATATACCCAGTTTTGAGATTGCTGGGTTGAATGGGAGTTCTGCTTTTAGCTCTTTGAGGAGTTGTCATACTGCTTTCCACAATAGATGAACTAATTTACACTGCCACCAACAGTGTATAAGTGTTACCTTTTCTCTGCAACCTTGCCATTATCTGTTACTTTTTTATTTTTTAGTAATAGCCATTATGACTGGTTTGAGATGGTATCTCATTGTGGTTTTGATTTATGTTTCTTTAATAATCAGTGTTATTGAGCTTTTTTTCATATTCTTGTTGGCTGCATATATGTCTTCTAAGACAACAGAGAAGTGTCTGTTCAGGTCCTTTGCCCACTTTTTAATGGTTTATTTTTTCTCTTGTAAATTTGCTTAAGTTTCCTATAGATGCTGGATATTAGACTTTATTGTTGCATACTTTGCAAATGTTTTCTCCCATTCTATAGGTTATTGGTTTACTCTGTTGATAGTTTCTTTTGCTGTGTAGAAGCTCTTAAATTTAATGAGATCCCACGTGCCAATTTTTCCTTCTTTTGTGATTGCTTTTGGTATCTTTGTCATGAAATCTTTGCCCATTCTTATGTCCAGAATGGTGTTTCTTAGGTTGTCTTCCAGGGTTTTTATAGTTTTTGGTTTTACATTTAAGTTTTTAATTCATCTTGAGTTGATTTTTGTGTATGATGTAAGGAAGTGGCCCAGTTTCAATCTCCTGCAATAGCCTCGCCAGTCATCTCAGCATTATGTATTAAACAAAGTGTCTTTTTTACCCATTGCTTGTTTTTGTCAGCTTTGTGGAAGATCACATGGTCGTAGATATGCAGCATTGTTTCTCAGCTCTCTATTCTGTTTCCTTGGCCTATGTGCCTGTTTTTGTACTAGTACCACGCTGTTTTGGTTACTGTGGCCTCATAATACAGTTTGAAGTCAGGTAACACGATGCCTCCAGCTTTGTTCTTTTTCTTAGGATTGCCTTGGCTATTCACGCTCTTTTTGGTTCCATATGAATTTTAAAGTACTTTTTTTCTAGCTCTGTGAAGAATGTCATCGGTAGTTTGATACAGTATTAAATACTTAAATTGCTTTGGGCAATATAGCCATTTTAATCATATTGATTCTTCCTATCCATGAGCATGCGATGTTACTCCATTTGTTGGTGTCTTCTCTGATTTCTTTGAGTGGTGTTTTGCGAATCTCATTGTAGAGCTCTTTCACCTCCCTGGTTAGCTGTATTCCAAGGCATTTTATTCCTTTTGTGGAAATTGTGAATGGGATTGCCTTTCTGATTTGGTTCTCAGTTTGGCTCTTGTTGGTGTATAGGAACGCTAGTGAATTTTATACATTGATTTTGTATCCTGCAACTTTGTTGAAGTTGTTTATCAGCTGGAGGAGCTTTTAGGCCGAGATTATTGGGTTTTCTAGATATAGAATCATGTCATCTGCAAACAGACATAGTTTGACTTCCTCTCTGCCGATTTCCATGGCCTTTATTTCTTGCTCTTGCCTCATTGCTCTGGCTAGGACTTCCAATATTGTATTGGATAGAAGTAGTGAGAGAGAGCATTCTTGTCTTGTGCTGGTTTCCAAGGGGAATTCTTCCAGTGCTTGCCCATTCAGTATAATGTTGTCTGTAGATTTGTTATAGATGGTTCTTATTATTTCGAGGCATGTTCCTTTAATATGTAGTTTATTGAGAGTTAACATGAAGGAATGTTAAATTTTATTTTTTTTTGCATCTGTTGAGATAAACATGTGGTTTTGTATTTACTTCTGTTTATGTTATAAGTCACATTTATTAATTTGCTTATGTTCAACCAACCTTACGTCCTGTGGATAAAGCCTACTTGATTGTGGTGAATTAGCTTTTTGATGTGCTGCTGGATTCAGTTTGCATATTTTCTTGAGAATTTTTGCATTAATGTTCATCAAGATTATTGGCCTAAAATTTTCTTTTTGTGTTGTGTTTCTGCCAGGTTTTGGTATTAAGATGATGCTGGCTTCATAGAATGAGTTGGGGAAGAGTCCCTCCTCCTTAATTTTTGAAATAGTTTCTGTAAAAATGGTACCACCTTTTTTATTTTGTACATCAGGTAGAATTTGACTGTGGATTCATCGGGCCCTTACCTTATATTGCTTGGTGTGCTGTTTATTACTGATTCAATTTTGGAAGCTGGTGGTGACGTGTTCAGGGAATCAATTTCTTTCTGGTTCTGACTTGGGAAGAATTTATCCATCTCATCTAGGTTTTCCAGTTTTGGGCATAGAGGTGTTCATAGTAGTTTCTGATGGTGGTTTTTATTTCTGTGGCATCAGTGGTAACATTTCCTTCGCCATTTCTAATTGTGTTTATTTGGATTTTCTCTCTTTTCTTCTCTATTAGTCTAGCTAGTAGCCTATCTATTTTATTAATTATTTCTGAAAACCAACTCCTGGATTCATTGATCCTTTGAATTTTTGGGGGGACTCAATTTCTTTTAGTTCAGCTTTGATTTTTTCTTTTCCTTATCTTCTGCTAGGTTTGGGGTTGATTTGTTCTTGTTTCTCTAATTCTTTCAGTTCTGAAGTTAGGTTGTTAATTTGAAATCTTTCTAACTTTTTGATGTGGACATTTAGTGCTATGAGTTTCCCTCTTAACACTGCCTTAGCTGTGTCCCAGAAATTGTGGTATGTTATATCTTTGTTCTCATTAGTTTCAAAGAACCCCTTGACTATCTTAAACTTCTATTAGGTTTCATTGCTTTAATTTACATCACTGTAGCTGATTTGCATAAAGTTTTGCAGAATGCCAACTTCTAGATTATTCATCTTGAAAAATTGTTTTTGTACCTTACACTACCAGTTTAAAACTTTATGTAATGCCATCTATTTGTAACTTTACATACACGTAAATTTATTTAATATTTGTCTGCTTTAGTGTAGTCTGTAGACTGAAGCTAGAAATCTTTTTTTCTTTACGTTTACTACGGCATAAACAATTTGAATATTTCTATAATGTGTGCACAGGATATAATTTTAACAGTGATTTTACTGTTTTAATTTTTATGCAGCATTTACATAATATTAAATGTTTAGTTTTTAAAATTTTTAATATCCAAAATGATTGTAATAATATAGGCTACTTGATTTATTGAATTATTGCTTTAAATAAAACATGATGTCACAAAATGAAGAAAATAATAAATACTGAAATTTGACAAATGTAAGCATAAATTCTTGCTAATTTCTTGACTAGCTGCATTATTTTGGGAAACTTTTACCTCTATGAGAGGGAGATCCTATATGTTTTGAAAATATAAAGCAAATTTAAATTTGAAGAACTTTACTGGTGCTCAGTAGTGTATTCAAAATATCTAAACATTTTATAATGAATGTATAATCAAGTCATATGCATTATAATATCATAGGGTAATTTCCTAGTAATAGATATTGTATTCAAATATTAATAATGTATTTAATTGTGAGTACACTTACAATTTTTTTAAATAAATTATAAAAAATTGTCAATATTACTTACTATATGATGGTTGTTTTAATTATTTTCTTCTGTTTGTATTTGATGTTCCTATGCATTTTAAAGGTGATTTAATTTAAGTCATTTAATTTTCATTTTCTGAATATGTTTAACAGACATCTCTGAAGAAAATTAACAAAACAACATAAAATGACTATTATTTAAATAAAAAACTAACAATTATTTTCAAAAACTGAAAAGACCCATGAGTTTGCATAATGAGAGTGTTGTAAGTGTAGACAGTTCTTCGGTTACAGACATATGCATTCCTGAAAAATTTTTATGCAAACTTGTGCAAATAAAATCACAAAGCTTATAGGAAAATATTATGTGAGAGGCACAGGATTAAAAAAAACTTCATTAATGACAAGCAAAGATAAAAAATATAAAGGAGTACTACTATTTTGCACATGTTAAGTGGTTAACAAATATATATGGTACTATATATGGCACATTACTTTGACAACTACTCAAAGTTTGTATGTGTATATGGATGTTGCAATGGCTGCTGCTTCTGACTTTTTGTGAAGTGGTGCAGACCATGGAAGGGGAGACACTGGAGATATTAAGAAAAAAATTATTTTAAGTAGAAGAGGAATATGTCATTGTGAAAGTTTTATTTTAAAGTAGAGAAGAGAACAGGTGCAATAGCTACAGGGACTTACAGTGTCAAGAATGAGGGTTTTTTAAATAATTTTTTTTATTATTATACTTTAGGTTCTGGGATACATGTGCAGAACGTGCAGGTTTGTTACATAGGTATACATGTGCCACGGTGGTTTGCTGCACCCATCAACCCATCATCTACATTATTTCTCCTAATGCTATCCCTCCCCTAACCTCCCACCCCATGACAGGCCCCAGTGTGTGATGTTCCCTTCCCTGTGTCCATGTGTTCTCATTTTTCAACTACCACTTATGAGTGAGAACATGTGGTGTTTGGTTTTCTGTTCTTGTGTTATTTTTCTGAGAATGACGGTTTCCAGCTTCATCCATGTCCCTGCAAAGGACATGAACCCGCCCTTTTTTATGGCTGCAGAGTATTCCATGGTGTATATTTGCCACATTTTCTTTATCCAGTCTATCATTGATGGGCATTTGGGTTGGTTCCAAGCCTTTGCTATTGTGAATAGTGCTGCAATAAATATACGTGTGCATGTGTCTTTAAAGTAAAATGATTTGTAATCCTTCGGGTATATACCCAGTAATGGGATTGCTGGATCAAATGGTATTTCTGGTTCTAGATCCTTAAGGAATTTCCACGCTCTCTTCCACAGTGGTTGAACTAACTTACACTCCCACAAACAGTGCAAAAGGGTTCCTACTTCTCCACATCCTTGAATATCAAAATGTGTTTTTCACTCAAAACAAATCTGGACTCTAGGAAGAGAGAATCTTAAATTTGAATGAAATACTATTACATTAGGGAGAATGCTTCTATCTCAGAAATCTACAAGTATCTTTAAATTAAAAAGAAAATGGATTTTGCAATTGGACGTGGAGCAAGATAGCTAAACAGAACCTTCCAGGAATTGTCCCCTTTGCAGGAGCACCAAATTATTGAACAACTATCCACACAAGAAAGCACCTATATAAGAACCAAAATTCAGATGAGCAGCCACAGTACATGGTTTTAACATTTTATCAAAGAAAGAGACACTGAAGAGTATAGGAAAGACAGTTTTGAATTGCCAATGTCATCCTTCCTTCAACTCTCAGCATCACAGCGTGGCACGGAGAGAGAATCTATGTGTTTGAGTGAAGGAGTCGGGGGAGTGCAGTGATTGTGGAACTTTGCACTGGAATGCAGTGATGGTTGTCACAGTGAAAAGCAACACATGGAAGTATTCAGGCAGCACCCACAGAGGAATTATTTAGATCAGCCCTAGCCAGAATTGTCCATTCCAGTGGTCAGAACCTGAGTTCTGGCTAAACCAGCTAAAGCACTCTGTCGACACTGGCTAAAGCACTCTGGGGTCCTAAATGAACTTAGAAGGCATTTAAGCCACATAGATTGCAATTCCTGTGCAAGTGCGGGTGCTGTGCTGGGCTGAGAGCCAGTGGACTTGGGGTGCATGCAACCTAATGAGACACCAGCCGGGGTAGCCAACTTAGTGCTTGTGTCACCCTTCCTCCAATCCCAGGCAGCAAGTTTGTGCTCCACAACAGACTCTTTCCTTCTGTTAGAGGAGAGGAGAAGGAAGGGTAAAGATAATTTTTCTTGCAATTTGAATACCAGCTCAGCCAGTAGAATAGGGAACCAGGCAGAGTCTTGAGGCCCCATACCAGGTCCTAGCTCCCGGACAACATTATTAGACACGCCCTGGGCCAGAAAGAAACCCACTGCCTTAAGGAGAATGACTTAATCTTGGCAGAATCCATCCCCGAATGACCAAATATCCCTTGGGTCTTGCATAAATATCTGCCGTAGCCAGCAGTACTTGCTGCAGAACTTGGCTGAGATCCAGTGCCATGCTGGCTTCATGGGTGATCTAGTACATTCCCAGCTTCGGTGGCCAAGGGGAGAGGCTCTTTCTACTTGAGGAAAGAGAGAAAATAATGAAGGAGTCTTTGTCTTGTAGCTTGGGTACCAGCTCAGTCACAGTGCGGTAGAGCAAAAAGTGAGCTCTTGGAGTTCCCATTTCTGGGCCTTGGCTCCCTAGTGACATTCCTGGAACTTACCTAGGCCAGAGAGGAGCCCAGTTTCCTGAAGGGAGAGTCACAGGCCTGGCAGCATTTACCACAGGCTGACTGAAGAGCACCTAGGCATTGAGTGAACATTGAAAGTAGCCAGGTAGTACTCACTGTGGGTGATCTGGAGCAGTGGTGGCAAAAAGGAAAGACTCCATATGCTTAAGTAAAGGAGAGAAAAGAGTGAGAATGACTACGTCTTGCAGCTTTTGTGCCAGCTCAGCCACAGTAAGATAAAGCACCAAGTAGATTCCCAACTACTGGATTCCTTAAGGAATTGTGGGCCCTGGCTCCTGAACAGTGTTTCTAGATCCATCCTGGGCTGTGAGGGAGCTTGCTTCCCTGAAGAGAAGGATACAAGCCTGGCTGGATTTGTCACCTGTTTACTGAAGAGCACTTGGTCTTGACTGAATACTGGTGGTGGCCAGGCAGTGATCGCCACAGGCCTTGGGCAAGACCTAGTGCTGTGTTGGCTTTGGGTCTTACCCATTGTGGTCCTTGTGTTGGTGGCCACAAGGTTGCTCGTCTCACCCCTTGCACAGCCCCAAGCAGTTCAGCATGAAGAGAGGGACTCCATTCATTTGGGGGATAGAAAAAAAAAAAGAAATGGATTTTCTTTTATGTGATCAATAAGATGGCAAGCAAAAATAAGCAGAATCTATGAAGAAGAAGCTGAACAAGGAAGGGGAAAATGACAGTGGAGTCAACAGGAATAGGGGCTCTTTGTGGTCAGCTGATTCTTAGAAGAAGCTGATAAGGGAGCCATGTTTCACTTTTTTGTGAATCTGCTCAATCTTGGTTTAGATGCTTGTAGAAAAGACAGAGGCTGAGTAAAGTTTGGTTAAGACAACGTAGTTGGTAAGAAATGAGCAACTGTGAGTAACTGGTCAATGAGTTGTTTGAGAAATTTGATGATGGGAGTATATAATGGAACATCATTGGGGTGATTCCTAAAGGATAAAGAAGGAGATCTAGTTTAGAAAAATAGAGGATGACCTTTTCAAGAAGCCAGTCTATTTCATATATGAAAACAGAAGAGTTTTTTGTTTGTTTTTATTTTTCTTATTAAATTTAGTTGTGGCTCCCTTTCTTTCTGAAATGTGCTTCATTGGATTACCTATACTTTTGTGAGAGTTAGTATTAGGTATTTTATATCATAGGCCTAAAGTGATATTTTACCGTTATTTCCCAAAGTGTTTTTTAATATTCTTCTCTATGTTTTAATCCTGACGTACAAATATAGTCATTTTCTTAGCAACAAAAATACTCCTTTAGCTACTTCATTCTGAAATGAAGAAATGGTGTATTTATAACATTCGATCTCATTGTACATTTAAGAAGGAAAAATAAAAACAATTTGAATGTTCAGTACATTTACATATTCAGGTCTTTTTAAAAATTTTCTAATGAGGTATTATAGTTTACTTTTGATATGGCTAATATCTCATTGTTTTAAGCTTTATGAATTACTATTTATGTTTACTGAGAAAGTATATATATTAACATCACAAAATGGCAAACAATGTTGTTGTATGGATCTACTATTATGTTAAAAATGCCCTATCATCTCACTAATTTAGATGAAACAGATATGTAAAAGGAAAGAGAATGATTGCTCTCCATTAAAGTCCAACTTTAATACAATCTTATTTGCTTCTCTAATATTTCTATGATAAAGTAAAATATAATAGTTGATGTATCTCCTCTTGCAAGACTATTTTCTCACTTAGTATTTTTTTTCTTTTTCCAGCACACTTCAATTTTTGCCATTTTGGGGTATATTTGATAATTATAATATCCCTATTTGTCTCAGAGTCACTTATGTAATTCACACACAATTGAACATATTAGTTTAATATTATAGTCAATGTAATTAGTCTAAAGGTATGCCTCTCCCTGGGGACTGTGCATAGAGGAATCAATCACTAACAGGGGCATATAAATCACCATGTGGAAAAAGTAGAGCAATAAGATGAATGCAAGTCAAAGAAAATTTCAGAGACAAGAGATGGAAACTGTTTCTCCTTTTTGTTTCCTTAATTATGTTAACCAAATTTTTAAAATTATGTTTATTTTGTTTTGAGTTTGTTATTTTCAATTGATTGAATTATTATTAAGCCAACATTTTGTATGCATTGTTTATTCTATTTGTAGGACTCTATTTGGACGATTATCAAAATCTTGGTTTGCTCACTGATCTTGTCTGAAACAAAAGGCTATATAGAATAAGAATAATATATGTACCTTAAGGACCATCCCATAGTCAACTAAAGTTCACAGGAGTCACCATATTTCAACAGATTACTTGAAGTTTTCGAGATAGCAAAGTTTCTGGATGTATTAGCAGTTTGCTAATTTAGTCAGATATGTTGTCAAAATATTTTATTGTATTTCTTTTCTTGTAAATGAGGCATTTATATTTGAAACCTACTATTTATTTTCCATTTATTTTAAACTCAAAACACCAATTGAAAGTCAGTATTTTAATGTCAGCTTTATTAAAGTAAGTTTTACAATTGGGTTGATTATTTGGCAAAGATAATCAAAGCTAGCAGTTGCTAATCCACTCAAAACAGCCTCTCCGTTATATGTCTGTAGCTATATTCATGAGGAAAGGAGACAAAGCCATTTTGCAACTTATAATCACATTAACAAAGTGTGGCAATTTTAGAAGGTGTAGTCAAGGTCATTTCAATATTTCTAGTAGTAAAACAATTTCAAAGATCAGACTCTTTTCCTTGGTGTTATTAGACTTTATAAAATATAGCATGGCAAATTTCCTTCTTTGTGAGTCTATCACATCCATGTATTCTAACACATTACTAATACTCCAAGGAAAGGAAGTTAACTTCATTCTAGATGGTCTAACTTATTTTTAGACTAATATACTCATGATTTCTGTGATTTTTTTTCCTTCTAGGAAGCTTTTGAAAGACATGTATACACTAAATCAATGTATCACTAAAAGATAAATTTAACTGAAAAATTGAGTTCTTTCTTTGGGTAAATATATATATATACACATATAATATGTATATAAAATAATTATTTTCATATTGGATATAATGTAATAATTGAATGATTAAGAGGTATTCAGAATTAACATAAAAGAAGTGATCATATTTAAACTTTACAATACAGAATAAAGTGACTACATATATATTCAATTTCATAGTACAAAACATGGAGAAAGTTTTCTAGAGAGTGCCTGGAAGATTAAGCTTCTAAGAGTAACACATTTCATAGTTTTAATTGCTAAAGAAACAAAGACAGATGGATTGAAGATTCTAATAACAGAACTCATGGGCTCTTTTTTCCTAGAAGTATGTAAAATGCCATTTGTTTTTATATGATTATTTAATTATTGCCTTTATAATGGCTCTTCTGGTCATTTTGTTATTGTACTCAACAAATTGTAATTATATTATTTTGCAGACTTGCTTATAGCAAGGTTTAATCACGTTTTTTTAACAAATATTGTATCAACGCCTGATCTTTTGTTAGTTATGAAGCTGACTGTTTTAGATATTTCAATTTATTGTTTGCTGTATATAGAGAGTTCAGTCTCTTAGAGTTATGAGGAATTTCTAACTACACTTTGGTAAGATTTTTACCCTTATGTAAGTTCCCACATTTCCATTTTTACCAAAAAAGTAAGCTTTCATTCATCACATATGTTATAGTTTGGGTTTTTAGATAAATATTTCTGAGAGTTAATTACAATTTAATTGACCATTCTGATCCACCATCACAGCAGGAAATAACAGCAATAAAAATTTTGTAAAACAAATATTGTTAGAAATCAGAATAGTAATACTAATGGTAATTCTTAAATATTCTTACTATAGAAGTATAGTTTAGGTAACCCATAGGTCAAGAAAAATTCTGAAATTTAAATTAGTCAATCTTATAATTTTTTAAGTTTCAGCGAGGAAATGAAGGGTTGCTTAAAACAATACTTTTAAAAATAAGGCAGTTTCAAATGAGCTTAAACCAAATTTAATGTCCCCTAATATCATAAATTAAATAGTATCCTTTGTCATTTCCAGCAGGATTGGGTATGTCACGCTACTATAAAGACACAGGCATATGTATGTTTATTGCAGCACTATGCACAATAGCAAAGACTTGGAACCAACCCAAATGACCATCAATGATAGACTGGATTAAGAAAATGTGGCACTTATACACCATGGAATACTATGCGGCCATAAAAAATCATGAGTTCATGTCCTTTGTAGGGACATGGATGAAGATGGAAACCATCATTCTCAGCAAACTATTGCAAGGACAGAAAACCAAACATTGCATGTTCTCTCTCATAGGTGGGAATTGAACAAAGAGAACACTTGGACACAGGATGGGGAGCAACACACATTGGGGCCTGTCATGGCGTATGGTGTGGGGAGGGATAGCATTAGGAGATATACCTAATGTAAATGATGAGTTAATGGGTGCAGCACACCAACATGGCACATGTATACGTATGTAACAAACCTGCACGTTGTGCCCGTGTACCCTAGAACTTAAAGTATAATAATAAAAAAAAAAGACTGGAGAAGAGCTAACTGTCTCTGTTACATGATTTAAACTTCTTTTTTTAAAGATTAGGTTAACTCAATTGTATTTACGTATAAGACATAATGATTGTACTGGGGCATATCTTATCACAATTATGCCTTTTATTTCTCTTGTATTGTTTTTCTCTAAGTATGTGCTTTGATCTCTGTTTTTTTCTGCAATATAGTCATTTATTTCTCTATTTTCTATGGTTTATATTTTTGTTTTTGGTTTTATTATAGTTATATGATACCTTTAATATTATACTAATTTAGGCATAATCTATAATTATCACTGAAGATCATTATATCCTTTTCCATTAACTCTGTTTTGTCAATAATAATATACTTGTTTTTCTTTCCACGGTTCTATATGATAATACTGTTATTTTACTTGTCAGCTTTAATACTTTTGACACTCAGTTATTACAAAGCAGGCAATTACAAGACTTACAGCTCCCAAGTTATTTTCTCTTCTTCTACACACGGTTTTATTGAGTTTTCAAAAAAATTAGAGCTTAAATATTTACATTTTTGCTCGGTAACTTTAACTCCCACATTATTACACTTAAATATCCTTGATTAAACATATATGGTGTTCAAAGCCAGTGTTTCTGTCACGGTATCCTAGTAATTACTTGGTTGCCTAAACTATATCTGGAATAATTTCTTCAAAAAGAGTTAATAGGTAAAATATTGTTGAAGTTTTCTATGAAAAAAGAAATGTAATTTGTAAGCCATATTCTTTTAGCATATTAAAGATTTCATTTCATTGTTTAATAGCTTCCATTATGTAGTAGTTAGGGGAAAGTATTCCCACTAATTTACATGCTTTCTGTGTAGAATTATACATCCACGGGTTTTTGCATGTGACTTTCCAATTTCCTCCAATTACAGTAGGCAAAGTATACTTTCCCAACTATTTAATGCAGCTGTACTTTGGCCAATCGAATGTTAGCCAATAAGACTAAAAGCTTAGCTTTAAATATACTTGTGTGGTTTGGCTTGCCTCTATGGTCCATCACAAGAAGAGTCTGCTCCCTGTAGCTGCTGTTGCTTCTTACAGGGCTCTAGAAAGAACGCATGGAATAGATCTTACCTGACTGCAAGTCTTCAATCCACACTGGTCCAGCAGGTAAGCCCTGCTGAGATTAAGTGAACTCCAGTTGATCTACAAGACCCATGAAATGAAAAAAATAAAGCATGTTTGCAATAAACCACTGAGATTATGAAATGGTTACATACCAATATTTCAAGGAAAAAACTAATATATATTTTTTAAAAGTTCATCTTCCTACTATATATTCCTTTAAATATTTTTTTCTGACTCCTTATGAGATTTTTTTCATTGTAAATATAAAAAATTAACCATTTTCTGTCATATGTCTAGGAGTTATTCTCTTTATATTTATCTTTACTAAGGCACAGGTGTGTAGGATCTGTAGACAGATGATTTTCACTAGTATTGAAAATTTACACCCATCATCTCTTTGGCTACTTGTTACTTCCCTATTCTTTTTTTCTCTGTAGAATTCTTAGAAATAGATTAATCATCCTTTATTGTGTTTCATATATATTTTTACATTTTTTTTCTATTATAATACTACCCTATGCTTAAGTCTGGATTTTTTCCTGTGCAATAGTCCATATCACAAATTCACTTTAAATTATTTCCTAGTTTTTGCCCATTCAGTATGATATTAGCTGTGGGTTTGTCATAGATAGCTCTTATTATTTTGAGATACATCCCATCAATACCTAATTTATTGAGAGTTCTTAGCATGAAGGGTTGTTGAATTTTGTCAAAGGCCTTTTCTGCATCTATTGAGATAATTATATGGTTTTTGTTGTTGGTTCTGTTTATATGCTGGATTATGTTTATTGATTTGCATTCCCCTTGAAAATTGGCACAAGACAGGGATGGCCTCTCTCACCACTCCTATTCAACATAGTGTTGGAAGTTCTGGCCAGGGCAATTAGGCAGGAGAAGGAAATAAAGTGTATTCAATTAGGAAAAGAGGAAGTCAGATTGTCCCTGTTTGCAGATGACATGATTGTATATCTAGAAAACCCCATCGTCTCAGCCCAAAATCTCTTTAAGCTGATAGGCAACTTCAGCAAAGTCTCAGGATACAAAATCAATGTGCAAAAATCACAAGCGTTCTTATACACCAATAACAGACAAACAGAGAGCCAAATCATGAGTGAACTCCCATTCACAATTGCTTCAAAGAGAATAAAATACCTAGGAATCCAACTTACAGGGGACGTGAAGGACCTCTTCAAGGAGAACTACAAACCACTGCTCAATGAAATAAAAGAGGATACAAACAAATGGAAGAACATTCCATGCTCATGGGTAGAAAGAATCAATATTGTGAAAATGGCCATACTGCCCAAGGTAATTTATAGATTCAATGCCATCCCCATCAAGCTATCAATGACTTTCTTCACAGAATTGGAAAAAACTACTTTAAAGTCCATATGGAACCAAAAAAGAGCCCGCATCGCCAAGTCAATCCTAAGCCAAAAGAACAAAGCTGGAGGCATCACACTACCTGACTTCAAACTATACTACAAGGCTACAGTAACCAAGACAGCATGGTACTGGTACCAAAACAGAGACAGAGACCAGTGGAACAGAACAGAGCCCCCAGAAATAATGCTGCATATCTACAACCATTTGATCTTTGACAAACCTGACAAAAACAAGCAATGGGGAAAGGATTCCCTATTTAATAAATGGTGCTGGGAAAACTGGCTAGCCATATGTAGAAAGCTGAAACTGGATCTCTTCCTTACACCTTATACAAAAATTAATTCAGGATGGATTAAAGACTTAAATATTAGACCTAAAACCATAAAAACCCTAGAAGAAAACCTAGGCAATACCATTCAGAACATAGGCTTGGGCAAGGACATGTCTAAAACACCAAAAGCAATGGCAACAAAAGCCAAAATTGACAAATGGGATCTAATTAAACTAAAGAGCTTCTGCACAGCAAAAGAAACTACCATCCAAGTGAACAGGCAACCTACAGAATGGGAGAAAATTTTTGCAATCTACTCATCTGACAAAGGGCTAATGTCCAGAATCTACAAAGAACTCCAACAAATTTACAAGAAAAAAAGAAACAACCCCATCAAAAAGTGGGCAGAGGATATGAACAGACACTTCTCAAAAGAAGACATTTATGCAGACAAAAGACACATGAAAAAATGCTCATCATCACTGGCCATCAGAGACATGCAAATCAAAACCACGATGAGATACCATCTCACACCAGGTAGAATGGCGATCATTAAAAAGTCAGGAAACAACGGGCGTTGGAGAGGATGTGGAGAAATAGGAACACTTTTACACTGTTGGTGGGACTGTAAACTAGTTCAACCATTGTGGAAGTCAGTGTGACGATTCCTCAGGGATCTAGAACTAGAAATACCATTTGACCCAGCAATCCCATTACTGGGTATATACCCAAAGGATTATAAATCATGCTGCTATAAAGACACATGCAAACGTATGTTTATTGCAGCAGTATTCACAATAGCAAAGACTTGGAACCAAACAAATGCCCAATAGTGATAGACTGGATTAAGAAAATGTGGCACATATACACCATGGAATACTATGCAGCCATAAAAAAGGGTGAGTTCATGTCCTTTGTAGAGACATGGATGAAGCTGGAAACCATCAATCTCAGCAAACTATCACAAGGACAAAAAACCAAACTCAGCATGTTCTCATTCACAGGTGGGAACTGAACAATGAGAACACATGGACACAGGAAGGGGAACATCACACACTGGGGTCTGTTGTGGGGTGGGGAGAGGGGGGAGGGATAGCATTTGGAGATATACCTAATGTTAAATAACGAGTTACTGGGTGCAGCACACCAACATGGCACATGTATATGTATGTAACTAACCTGCACGTTGTGCACATATACCCTAAAACTTAAAGTATAATTGAAAATAAATAAATAAATAAATAAATTATTTTCTAAATTTTGCTCATTCAATTCAACTAATGCTTCATTTCAGTTTTTAAAAATCTAGTTTAATTTTAAAAGACTCTCCTGTTCTTTTGTTAAAAATATGTTTCATTCACAATTATTTTAATGTGCATTGCATGTCTGGCCATCCCAATATCTACATCTTCTATGGTTTTTAGTTTTATGCTATTCTCTGGAATTTTTTATTAATTGCTTCTTCTTTTATGCTTACCTACCTTTTTTTTGAGTGCCAGACATTTGATGTGAACATTTGTAGAGATAATCTAATGCATAGTGTGAATCTGTGTGTGTTTGTGTGTGTGTGTGTGTGCGCATGTGTGTGTGGTGGTGGTCCTTGTCCTTCATCCCCTCCTTGCTCTTCCCTCGTCTTCCTCATCTAAGAACATTTTTCTTTTACAAACCACTCCACTGCTTGAAGTAAAGCTTCTCTTTAATTTTATTTCACAATTCCACTTAGTCCATTTAGTTAAATTGTTCTTCTCTTTTATATTTTCATTTCTCACAGTATCTTTCTCTATCTGCATTTTGTCTTGCCCTTCTTATGATTAATAATTTTTTCTAATCCCACTTAATTCTTTGTGTTCACTTCTAATCCCCCTTGTCTCACTAATTCTTCTCTACATCCCTGTTATTCTGCTTTGTAATTTTTCAGATAGAAAGTTACATCATTAACTTTATTTTAAAAATTAATGGCAACCTATTTCAACAAAACTAATATTTTGTGGAAATATTTGAGCATTTTTCTACTGTGTGCTTATGATTTATGATTATGACTTAAAATTTGTTTCTCCTTATGGTGTTATTGTATCTATGTGTACTAATTTATTTTATCTTATTTTTTAATAATACATAAAATAGATTCTTTTCAAAGTAGATATTTGAAGGCAGTTTAGGATAATCATGAAGAGGAAGAGGCAGAATAGCCTTTTGGTATTAATAATCCAAAGGCAAACTTTTTCTAAATTACAGAGTCAGACAGACTACTTTCTTTGAGCTATCTTGTTGTAGTCATTATTAGTATAAAGCTGTACCATCTGTTATCTGACCAAAGGAGGTCCCAGGGAAATTCTGACAGAGTTCAGATTCACATCATTTTTTAGCTTGTTTCAAAAAAAGGGATTAAAAGATCATTTCATGACACGATTTTACCTTCATATTTTTTTCTGTTATTTTTTTCTAAAATTCATTACCTTTGGGCTTTTTAAGCACTTTATCATATTTTCTTTACTTCTTCTCCCTGAATTTCTACCTGATCTTAGCTCTTTCAATAATCTTTACCAAATTTTGGAGTATTTGATTTATCTGTGTTCTAGTTTTACTGCTAATAGATTCTGAAAATTTTATTTTGAAATTTCCCTTGTTGCTTTTGCAATGGTATAAGGTGGTGACTGAAAGATTGTATTCAAATCAGCAGTCCTGTTAACAACCACCTTTACGGCTTCAAGAATTTTTCTAAACATTAAACCAGCTAATTCAAAGCACAGAACTAAAATGTTAATATTTTAATAGAAGTTTGAATGAGTTTTGAAGTCAAAAGCAATATAACTTTCTTTTTTTGAGATGGAGTCTGTCTCTGTCATGCAGGCTGGAGTGCAATGGCATGATCTCGGCTCACTGCAACTTCTGCCTCTCAGATTCAAGTGATTCTCCTGCCTCAGCCTCCCAAGTAGCTGGGATTACAGGCGCCCACCACCATGCCCTGCTAATTTTTGTATTTTTAGTAGAGATGGGGTTTCACCAGTTTAACCAGGATGGTCTCGAACTCCTGTCCTCAGGTGATCCATCTGCCTCAGCCTCCCAAAGTGTTGGGATTATAGGTGTGAGCCACTGTGATAACTTACTAAAACGTATATAATTTGTACATTTCCTGCCTTCAAGATATTATATTTTTGTAATTTGATTCTTTAAAGTTGCAAGCAAAAGACACACTTCTGTTCTCTTCTTGATGGATATTTTAATTGATATATAATAGATACACATATTTTTTGGTGTACATGTGATATTTTTCTACATTCACATAATGTGAAAGGGCATATATGTTGAGGCTACTTAGGGAAATAATGCAGTGAAGAAATCTTTCTCCACTGCAAACTCAGATATCCTGGGTAATTGGATTTCTCTTTACAATGCCCCGTCGATGATATGTCATAATTGAGATGGAGTTTATCAGGCCTCTGCTTGTCTTTTCCGAGATTCAACTACTGATGCCTTCCCTATTCTCCATTATACCTAGGAATGTCTCATTGCTGAGGATTCTGACTACAATTTCTCTCTCACTATCATCCCGCTTCCTGTCTCCTGGCTTCTGACCTTCTGCTGCCTCAATTTCCTGCTGTATATCTCCCATTAAGAAATTCTCCAAAAACTGTTGCTATCAATTATCGTATTCAAATGTTGTCATTACTCTTTAAGAGACAAAACAGACATTTTTGTCCTCTATTTACAGATGAAAAAATAAGCTCATAATCGTAACCCAAGAATATAGTAACCTGAAATTGAATTTTGGCTTGTGAACATTAGCCTTATGACCTTTGGCCTTCTATGCTGTATAATCTAAGGCCATCTACATTTTAATGCATGTATCATGCAGTTTGTAAAACTTAAAAGGTATATAGAGAAAGAATGTGTTGAATTTTCATGTTATAATAAAGCTGTAAGATCACAGATGTACAAACAAAAAACATAGCATTTACCATTGTTTTAACTTCTTAAATCATTCCCAGTATACTAAGTTATAAGAAGTATTTAATCTTAACCTGTAAAAGTACAAGCTTGGCTAAACCATAAAGATTTTGTCTCCCTTTAATGATTGGAGACAATGATGACCCATACTTGGATTAAATTGTTTTTGCTCTAACTTACAACACACAAGGTGACAACACTTCAGAAAGAAAGGTATGATAAAGGGATATAAACAACTGAGTGGACTAAGTTTTTGCTTTTTTTCCTAAGTATTTTCTATTTTAATGACCAGTGCAGTCTATAGGGAGTGGGAAAACCCAAGATGAGAAAGGCTAATACCAGAGTCTTCTGCTTATTCTACTGTTAGGTCGAGATGGGAGCATATAAGCCCTCAAGAATCCACGTGTGTTTATGCAGATCCAGTGCTGCACCAGTTACATGACTCTAGATTTGATTTCTCATGCATTATCAAATGTACAACAATTGTGGACAAGATAATACATCCCCATCTCTGTCAAATCAACAGAATCTCTTTAAGGTAAGTTAAGAGCGTTACAGAAACTAATAAACAGAAAATGTGCCTTGATATAATCTGTGTATGAAGGATGCTATATGTCTTCATGATAGCAATTTTGAGGTTCATTTTGAGGAAATGAATTTTGAGGTTCATTTTGAGGAAAATGTTCATTTCTCCTGGTATTTTCTGGTCTTTGGTTGTGCTGCCTTGTCATCCTTGTTTCCCTGACCTTTAACCTATGTCTTAATTGAATCTGCCGGTGATCATGAAAGGTTCCATTCAGCGTCTGTATATGTACCGGTATCTCCTGCTCTCTTAGCCTGAGTTCTTGGTGAGATTCCACTTTCTGGATCCCCCATTTTCTGACCCCAGGCTTATTTGTCTCTTAGCTCTCTGAAAACCCCTTGTGGGCATGCAGGAAAATGTTGGTCTCATACACAATAACAGCATCATTTTCCTGTTTTGTTGAAATCTCTCTTGATTAGTGCCATTCTATTGCCTTTATGCAGGATGTTTGAGTAAAAGGAGCATAGAGAGCTAAACTGATCTAATGTTTCAAAAAGTGCCCTTTACCTTGCCTCCTCCTGTGATTCTTACCGTTTTTCCTTTGCACTCATCTTCTCATCAGAAGGACTGATATGTTGGCTTCTTATGAGAGGGTACACTGTTTATTTCATATTCTCGTATTTTTTCTACCTTTTGCTTATTATGACACTCTATTATCCAAGTTGCCCAAGTGTGTCCAGTAATATAAAAGGAGTTGTTGAAATTCAGAAAATCAATTTATCCAGTTGTAGTTATCTACTGCTGTATAACAGTTTACCCTAAAATTATGTAGGCTAAGACAAGAACTATTATGGATGATTCTATGGTTAATATAGCCCAGATGAGCAATTCTTCTGCTCCAAGTGTTATTTAATGAGGCCGCAATCATCTGGAGGCTCAACTGTACTGGAATGTTCAAGATAACTTTGCATATCACTGTCAGCTGATGCTAACCCTAGGCTTGGAATTGAGCTGGGGCTGTTGATCAGAGATCTTTGTTGTTTTTCTTGTGGCCTATCCATGTCTTTTATGCTTTTCTTAGCTTTAAAGGTGGGTTCCAAGCATGCAAAAGTGGAAGCTGCATCTTTCTTAATGATTCAGAAGTTAAACAGCATCACTTTTGCTATATTCAGTTAGTCAAAGCATGTCAAAATTCTAGCCGAGGTTTAAGGGAAGGAAAAATCTTTTTCATTTCTTGATGAGAGAAGGGAAAAATAATTTGTTTTCATCTTTAATTCCTACTCTGCCCCCCCACCCCGCCCCCAGTAAAACCTACCTGCAAAGACTGCTGAATCAGCCTGGACCATCCCCAAATCTAATCTCACGGTCAACACTCAGCAACAAGTTTGTGGTTTGAATCTATTTTTTTGAGAAGCTATAACTTTTTAGTTCACTATATTTGTATCAAGATTTAGGAGTCATAAAACATGTCTGTTTATTCTTCAAACATATTATCCAGTCGGAAAAAAATAATTAAAATTAGAATTACACTTTTGGGATAAGATAGTTGACACAACTAAAATTTAATTAGAAGAGATATAGTTATTCTGGGACTTCCTAAAACTAATAATATCCAATCATTATTAAAGGTTGTCTGTGACAAAGTTCCACTGATAATCAGGCAGAGTCATTTAGAATGTTCCTACTAATTTCACACTCAACAGGAAATTGTGTAAGCAAGAAAAGCCAACATGTTTCCCATCTGTCTTTTGAAAACATTCAGGGAAGCTCTCTTTCACAAAGTCCAAATCATTGGAAGGACAAAAGCAGAAAAGAAGAATGACAATGCAATTTAAAAATAATAATTAAGGCTATTTCTGATATCAATCTTTTAAAATGATAAAATTTTATATTTTATAAAATATAAATTAATTTCAGAAATTAAGAGTGAATATTAATTAATATAGGCATTGTAAGACATGAATCTCTTGAAAATGGTCTGAGTGCAAAGGCTTACACCTGTAATCCCAGTGCTTTAGGAGACAGAGGCAGTAGGATTGCTTGAGGCCAGGAGTTCAAGACCTATAGGCAACAAAGCAAGACCCCATCTCTACAGAAAATTTAAAAAAGTTAGTGAGGCATGGTAATGGATAGATCACTGGAACTGTTAATATTGAGGAAGCTTTTACTGCTACAAACCTCAGAACTACTTACAATACCACTACTACACCTATACTACTTCAGGTTTACATAAGCATTAACTGGTTTTAAAAATTCTAAAAATACATTATGCTTTTCTAAAACTCTCAATTTAACTTCCTAGGTTCTTATTTATACTATAATTTTAAAAATTCATGTAAATGGAATTATACACTATGTAACGTTCTGGAATTAATTTTTTTTTTTTTTACTCAGAATAATTCTCTGATGAGTCGTTCATGATGAGTATAAATTAATAGCCAGTGCCTTTATGATTGCTGAGAAGTATTTCATGTTATAGAACTTCAGCGGTCTGTTTAGCCATTCACCTGTTGAAAGACATTAGGGCTGATTTCATTTTTGGCTTTTATGAATAAAGCTGCTATGGACACTTGTGTACAGGTTTTTGTATGAACATGAGTTTTTATTTCTTTGGGATAGACATGCAAGAGTGCAATTTCTGTGTCACATGGCAGTTACAGGTATATCTTTTAAGAAACTGATACAGTGTTTTCTGCAATAGGTTTTTGAATTAAAGTATTTTTAAAATGTTGAATGTGGCAACTGATTTGTTTTGGCATGATAATAATTGAGTTTGTAGATAATTGTAATGAGAATTCTTAAGACATTTGAATTTAATATATTTGTCATTGCATTAATTTATGTCATAGAATATTTTGCTAAGAAATCTTAAATAATTACACCATCCAAAAAAGTTTTTGTACAGTAACCAAAATCGATTCTTGAAGCTCAATAACATTTATCAAAACTTTTTTTATGTAAAATGTCTTAGAAACCAAAAAGTAATTCCTGTAATAATTAGGTTGAACTTGAACAGTAAATAGGGGTCATATTATTTAGAAAGATACAAAAGGTAATCGTATAACAAATTACATATTAAGGCCTTAATTATAATTAGAGTTGATTATAAAAATAAATAATGACGCACTTAATTCTTTCAAAAAGCTTACATGTTCTGTACAGGTAAAGGCATATCAAGTAGAATTTTTAAAAATACAAATTTAAGTATAGAAGCATTATTCTTAGTAAATAAAATGTAATCAAGAAATCAGACTCAATCTGGAATAATTACCAATTTGATTTTCTTTGTGAATTATTTAATTGTGTTTCCAATGTTTACTGTATGTTTTTCCAATCTACAATAGATAATCAATGTAGCTATATTATTTGAATTTAAATGTGTGCCTACAAATAAATAATGGTCAAATTATATGATAATGTATCTTGTAAAAAGTTTAAAGATAGCTGCAAGAAATATAATAAAATAATACCTAGCTGAGAAGATACTCTATGTTTTATGTTATAGTTGGTTTGAAAATATAATTTCAAGGAATCCAAAGCTAAAGGTACACACTAACATTGGCTAAATTCTATCAGCTTTTATAAATATATATACATATGTTTATATGTAAATTTTTAAAAATGAAAGCAGTTTTATTCTGTTAACTAAAACTATGTGTGCGTATACACATACATACACACATAAACACATGTATGCACATGCTTACATATATGCCTACGTACACACTTCAGCTACTTTTTGGTTGTAATAGTCTTTTATCTTATATAGTAGTCTGGTGTTTCTATAAAAAACAAACATTTTATTACACGGAGCACAGAAGATAGGATAGTATTTGCCATTAGTTCCCCACACCCCAGTTTCCAACAGTGTAACAGTGAGGGTGAGTGGTTTTTCAGCACATGTATTGGGTTTTACATAAAGGAGGAACTCCAACATCATGAGATTCAGAGCTAACACAGGGGCTGCTAGCACATCTGTTACCGTTTTCTCTGGAAATATATGAAAACCTTATTTTTACTTCTACAAAATAAACAAATTCTCTTTGGTGAGTGTAGGGGGAGGTCCTTAGTTTCTTACAACCCTGAAAAGCAATTCCAAGGAGTGTGTGGGTAGGTGTTTTCTATTTTTATTATAGTTTGTCATGTCCTTTGCCCAGAATGCATGGAATATGAGAAACCCAAGGAGAATTTTCTCTCTGAATATCCACTTCCTGGTTTTACAATGCCCTGGCTCTTGGCAAATTTTTGTATTATTCCCCACTCCCTCTGTTACTCTAATATAATTCACCCTGGCTGATATCAAATCTGTTCATCAGCTTGTCTTATGTAGCACTTACTTAAGACTAGTGTCAAACTTATACTATTGAACTCAACCATGTCAAGCAGCCTTGATATAGCCAGAGGAACAAATACCGTAAACCTTCAGGTCAACTTCAGAAAGCCAGGTAGTTTTCTATATAAATTTCTGTAATGACTTTTCCAACTTCTTTGAGGCATTACCAAAGTCCTAGCATGATAGCTACTTCCCCCTTAATCTTTTTGTTTGAAGGTGAGAATACTGGTATCATTCATAAAATTTCTGTCTAATGAGTTGAAGATGGTTTGAATGCCTTCCATGGCTAGGAGGGTGTCATCGATTATTTTACCTAAGTCACAGACACATTTTATAATATCATTTGTAATCGAATGATTCCCATTGTAGTTAAAACTGCCCACATAGCACAAGTCATGAGTCTTGTATCCTTCTGGGATTTCCCTGAATATCTGAGGGTAGCTTCATTTTTGAGAGACCTCTGCAGTTATCTGAAGGCTACATGATCTATTTGTGCATTTTCTTTATATAGTCAAATGTCACTAACATGCCTTAACATACAAATCACCATGTCTCCTGTGAGGGAGACAAGTCAATACCTGGCTCTCACACAAGAAAGGCAATCCCAAAGATATGTGTGGTGCCTCTGGAAATAATTATTGTTTATAGTTGTCTCCCCCTTCCACCCAAATGGAATATACATCAGTCAGTATGCACAGCTTGACAGTGCCATTCTCATACTTCCAGAGGGGTTTTCTAGCAGGTATCATCTAAAAGCAGTCAGTTCAATGTGTCCTACTTGTCCAGTACACCAATTTATTGATCCCCATAGAATAAATAAGCATAAAGATAGGACAAATGTAGAGATATTTTTGGTGTGGGACAGGCTGTTTTGTTGTCAGTGGCATCTGGTTATGGCTGAGAAACTCAGTGGAGAGTTTAATCCACAGGTTTCCACAACGGTTTGCAAGAGTAGCACCACACTGTTTTCCTTTGAGAAGAAAGCACCGGAGGGGGTTTTAAAAGATTTTTAAAAATTAATTTTCCCCTTCCCTATACTCCAAAAATCTATGATAATCTTTCCCAAGATGCAGAGGATTTTTCTGTCCTTCCATCTGCACAAATTCTGTTGGTTATCATTTTAGTAACTATACCTGCCCCTCTTAAAATCATCCCTAACTTTTACCCAGACCTTTCGTCTGGAGTGGCTGAATAAAAGAGGATCAAAAATATTTTTAGACGATTTAACTGGAACTAAGTTTAAATCCCCTAAGCCCTTTTTAGTCAGGCTACCAATTAGCTGGGTTTATATTTGCTTCTAAGATACAGAATGGCAAATGATGCTTGGGAATGGTTAGGACCAAATTCTGAATTTTCACATAGGTCATTATAAATTGGACTTTTATGATCCTGATCATTATTCAGTAAACAACTTAGAAAAGATCATCCCTTTTGTGGGCAGGGGTGGTTTCACTTAATGACTAAGCTACCTTAATGTAGTCTGTGTTTACTGGGAAAATGCATGGTAAGTAGAGACAGAAATAAGTTAGGGTAAAATTTTGAAGCAGAATTCCAATGCTCAATAATATCTTATGCTTGTAGATAGTAATGAACATTGAATATCTATTGAATACCTTGACTTTCAGTCTAAGGTCTTGAGTGGCTTTCATTATAAAATGAACATTATTGACACAATTCCAAGAGTCTAGAAAGCTAAACTCATAATGCATATTTGTTTCCAGAGCAGCTATAGTCTCATGTCTGGAGCATGACAGAGATTTCATAACCTAAAAAGGTGTTAACAACAGCAAGGCACCACCAATAGCCCCGAGAAGGGAAAAACCTCATGTAAGCCGTATGCTCAAAATGAGCATGTGTGTTGGGGGGTAGTCACAGTATCTAGAATGTGGCCTCCGCAACCTTGGGATAACCAGGCAAATTGTTGGCAGGAGACACAAGTCTGCCATGAAGTGGTAGCCTCTGCATCAGAAACCTAGAATCCTTGCTTCTGTATCCAGTCTACGATAGTAGAGAGGTTGCCATGGAATTATCATGACAATCTAGGCAGCACGGGCTGAAAGTTTTCGATTCCAGTCAGTCTCATCAGAGAATGGGCCCTTCCCATGGGCATTTAAGAGTAACCCAGATGGTTCGATCAGCAATCATGATGTTTCATGGTTCATCGTCTAAGGAAGGGGTGTCTATAATTTGCAGTAATTCTACTGTCTGTGTTCTTCCCACTGGGAATAATAACCACTGCCCTCTTATATCCCAGCATAACTGGTGATGAGGCTGAAACAGCTACAGCAGACACCATTGGGCTTTGGTTTAGCTTAACATCCTTAAACAAAACACAGGTATGAAAGGCACCCTTCTGTGAATTGAATATCTTATTGAGTGAGTAGTTTTGCTCTAGCCAGTGAATTGGAAGTCATGTTTTACTCACAGAAATAGCTACCATTTTTCTTGCAAAGTCATTATTTCCCTGGGGATTAGGTTGGCCACATTCCTCAATTATCAGTGTCCATTTGACAAATGAGGCTTTTTGGTCCCTTCCTGTTTTACTAGTTATAAAGTCCTAACTAAACCAACCCCCAAGTTGTCAGGCCTCTATAAGTGAAGCAACTTTCTTTTAACTGATGATATTTTTTGCTGATTTGTATCTCTGACCAAAGGGGATAAAAATTTCTTGGGCTTTTGGAACTTAGGCTTTTGTCATGGCTACTAGATATGCTACTTTAAAAGCAGCTCCTTTTTGTCTACAGTGCCCTTGTTGAAAAGCAATGCTTGACTCAATAAGGTCCTAAGCCTCCTTTTTGATAAGGGAACAGAGGTACATAGTATTTTCTTGATTTGCTAGAATGTCAGTGGCTTGAGTCAACTGCTATAAATATAAATTATCTCACCAGTGGGAAATGGCAGGGAAATCTGTCCCAGGAACAGAGTTCTCTACCTGTAGCTGTTTTTTCACTGGGATAATTCCCTGAGAAACGTATGAGAAGAGGAATTAATATAACTTATCATCTGTTTCTATCATAGATTTAAATGTAGAAGCAAATAAGGACTCAATTCCATAAATCAGCCTAAAGGACTCTGATCATAAAATAACTTTAACCATTTTGTTTTCATTCACTGCAAGTTTTGCTCAAGCCCTAGTAGCTGAATTTGGCATTTCAAGGGCTATAATTACAACTGCCATGAAATCCCAATGTTCTCTCTCATCTGGGGCTTTGAGGCAAAAACAGACTCAGAGTGGTAAGGCTACAGGGTGGGCATGTGGGAGGAAGATGATGAGCTTTTTTTCTGTATTTTGTTCTTTATTTTATTCCCCAAGCACTGCGGGCATCTGGGGTTGTATGGTTGGTGGGGGCCTCTCAGAGTCAGAGGCTCTTCCTTTCTGTCCTTTTACCTGCCAAGAGTGACATTCTTCCACATCTTCATTCACTCATATACTCAGCACTCCTCCCCAACAGAATTTGACCTGTTGGTGATGTGGGCACATGTTTGCAATATAGTTACAAAAGTTTGAGTCCCTCCTTTCCCTGAGTTCCATGGTATATTCAGATGGGTAGAAAAAAATTCCAGTTTCCCTTTGCTGTAGTGAGACGAAGAAATCACCAAGAATCCTTCAGGCAACTGAGGTTTGAATAGAGGGGGAAGAAAGGAATGGGCAAATCTATTAAAGAGTCTTCATGCTAATAAGTAAGCTAGGTTAGAGCAGTGCAATGACTTTTTATGGTTCAACTACCCATGTTCTTGGATGACCTTCAGCCTTACAAGAGCTCTGGAAGCTAATTATCCCTTTCTGTTCCTACCTGGTAAAGACAGCAACAAACAAAATCATTTCTAATGTTTTCTTCTTGACAAAAGCCTTATACAAGCTTTGGAAATTCCTTGACCTTTTCTCCCCCTGACCATTAGGGCTTCCCGTTCACTTATTTCAACCCTACGTCCTAGATGTAGGCCTTCAATAACCTTTCCTTATTAATGTACAGCAAAGAGAAAGACCAGTTTTGCCTAATTGAAACTACAGTTGGTCAATCTGTCTGCTACTGATTCTTATTGACTTGTGTGGTTCTCGACTTCCTCTACAAAGGTCTTCAATGTTGTATCATCCTTGCTTTCAAAAATTTTGAGTTAAATTGTGAAAGATCTGAGATTTACCCTACTTACAAGCTAACAAGTTAGCCTGCCAGTTTAGTACAACATATGTTGAGGGAAACACCATACCTCTGCATCAGAGAATGAACTGTTTATAACTCACAGGAAAACAAAAACAAATAAAAAACCTCCACAGTATATCTTGCATTGTTTCACCACACTCTAATTTCAACAGGGCAACTGAAGACCAACCTTCATGTGCATGTGCACATAAGAAAGTAAAGAGAAATTTAATTAATTTATTTATTTAGAGACAGGGTCTCACTCTATTGTCCAGTCCAGAGTGCAGTGATATGATTATGGCTCAGTGCAGCCTTGATCACCTGGGCTCAAACAATCCTCCAAACGCAGCCCTGGGAGAAACTGGGAACACAGGAATATTCCACCATGCCCAGGATTTTTTTTTTTTTTTTTTGCAGAGTTGGGGTCTCTCTGTAATGTCCAGGCTGGTTTCAAACTCTTGGTCTCAAGCAGCCTTCCTGCATGGGGTTCCCAAAGTGTTGGGATTACAAGTGTGAGCCACTATGACTGGCTGAGAAATTTCTTAATACAATATATTAAAAAATGCTGTCAGATATCTAGACCAATTTTCACTTAAATTATCTTTTACAGCAGTTTTAATTTTATTTTTTCTCAAAGTCTAATCAAGTTTACTCATGTTATCTTTTTAGTTTCTAGTTAACCTGTTTTCCACATAATGGCAAATTTTTAGAGTAACCAAGCAGGGTGACGTAGAGAATATATAGGTCATGTGAGACATGTAGATTATATTAGCAAATATTAAGCCTAGTCTTTTTAATATTCCCAGACATTTTTCTGATTAAAACTGATTAACTCTCTGGCTAAGCAAGGTGACTCCCAGCACTTTGGGAAGCCAAGGTGGGAAGACTGCTTGAGGCCAGGAATTTGAGAACAGTTTGGGCAACAGAGTGAGATCTCATCTCTACAAAAAAACTTAAAAATTAGCTGGGTATAATGGCATGCACCTCTAGACCAACCTACTTGTGATACTGAGGTGGCAGAATCACTTGAACCTGGAAGGCTGAGGCTGCAGTGAGCCATGATCACACCACTGCACTCCAGTCTGGGTGACAGAGCAAGACCCTGTCTCAAAAATAAAAACAAAACAAAAAACCGGCTAAAACTCATGATTCGTGAATCAGTAGACATATTTTATTAGACATCTTCACTTAAATATTAATGAAGTAATTCACAAATGACTTTCTTTAGGACTTTATTTTATTTAAAAGGTAACATGATATTTAATGGGTATAAAAATAAAATAGATAATGATAAAAGTTCAGATATCACATGGAAATCATGAGATTGGTTGGCTAATTTAACAGCTAACTGCTCAGATATTGTTAACAATTTTATCTAGCAAAAATACAAAGTTTCACATATTTTAAGATTTGTTCCTAAATGCTGAGAATCATGAATGCTGAATGTGGGATTTTCAGGGGTGTGTATTATAAAAATACTCATACAAAGATCTTAATATCCATTCATTCATTTAATCACAAATGATTGTCCATCAAGACAGACATTTTTTCCCACCCTCAAGATTTACTTAATCACTAAAATGTTAATCAGGAATAAAGCATTGAAGCTTTCAGATGACTTGTAGGAGAATTCAAATATAAAGGAAAAGAGAAACAGATGGAGATTTTAAACCTGTATCACCATTAGTATCTAAACAGTAATTGATTGATCACGGGGCAGTAATTAGCTGCATAGTAAAATGCAAAAGAAGTAGACACAAGACAGTGAGATTTTACAATTTAAAAAAGTATGAAAATGTTGAGAAGATATATTCTATCAGGAGAAGGCTGAATTGGGTGGAAAGTACACTGAGTGCAGCACAGAGGACTTAACTAGCATAGAGATAGAAAAACAAACCAAAGAGAGAAGAGGAACCATCACTGTCCATCTCAATCACTGAAAAACTTAAGTCGCCTTGAAAGTGTCTGTTACCCAAATGATAAACTGAAAAAATATATGGTATTCCTAGAGATATTTTTGTACAACTAAGTTAGTCTATACTTAGAAAAATGAGCAAATTTGGTTTGGTTGTTGCTGCAGGACAATTGATTTTTCTATTCTTTTTCTGATAATAATTGGATGATATATAAAATAGTAGGTGACTTAAAAACAGAGGATAAAAATGTAAAAGAGTTGTAGTATGTTAGGAATTACTGGGAGTGAGAAAGTGTTGAATCAATTGGTACAATTTATAAATGATAAAGACATATATCTCTAATTTAAAATTATTTATTTAATGAAAAGTTTATTGAAAACACATCTGGTAAATGACTTCTTCAAGTATACCTGAGTGTGCAAAATGGTAAGTTACAGGGAAAAAGGGGTAACTAAAGGTACTTACTCCATGACAAAATTGATATAGAAAAACAACTAAAATTTTTTCTTCTTCCCCAAAATTAATTTTTTTAAACAGCATAAGATTTGCTTGGGAAAAAAATGGGCTATTGAATAAAAAAAATTGGTTTTGAGTAATGAATCAGATGAAAACTATTTTTCATAATAGAGAGTATTAGAAAATACATTAATAATACTAAGCTATTATTAATTCTGGATGAGCAATATTTCCTTCTAAGTTTGAAAACATATCACCCAATTTTTCAGTAATACTTATTTAAGCTGAATATATTCATGTGGAAAAAAAATCTCTACTATTTTTAATAAGTGGAAATGAAATAGTCTCTCCCAAAATGAAGCAGAAAGAGAGCTAAGCTGCACTTTTATAATTCGCTCTTTTTTAAACAGATGCCTTTGCTGGGGAGCATGTACTTTAGTGACCCCACCCTGCACCTTTACCTTGGTACTTTATATTATTATATTTTAGGGTTTTTAAAAACATAGTATTCCATTAGTTTTAATCGTGTGTAATTTTCTATTTCATAGTTTATTTTAAAAAATGAAACAGAGGAGTGCTATTTTGCCAACATCTAGATTACTCCTACAAATAATACCAGCTGACAAATTTTTAAATACAAGTTCCTTTAATGTTATGTATTCAACGACTTAGGTTTGCTTTATTTTGTTATCATTGCTGGATGTCACCAATCCACCTTGCAGAAAAAAAAATATATTATTTTGAAGTGTTACAATTTTTAAAAACTCTTTGTTCTTGAGATTTATTAAAATTAATTAAATCACTAAAAAGTAGTATTAGCATTACCATAGTGTAGACAGGTTAGAGTGATAGTTTTTCTAACACAATGTGTCTGTGTCCCAGAGTATCATAAGATATTTAAATAAAAAGCTTTGTCGAATATTTTCATAAATAAGAAAAATGGGATTATGGTGAAAACATAATTTTTCATGTTACTATACAGCTTTACTTTTCTGGAACACAGTGTGCACATTTGTCATCGGCAAATTCCTTCCTATTTTTAAGATTCAATTCATACATTACTAACAAACATTGCAAAACTTTTCCTGATTGTATCAAGTTGATCTTTCTATTCCTGCTTTGTCATCCAATCCAAGACCTGTCACATTCACCTTTGTATCTCAAACATTTACTGAATTAAAGCAAATATGAGTTAATAAAAGAGGTAAATGGAATATCATTTGATTAGTTTAAGAGTACCTTGTTATTATATATAAGATCTTCAATGAAGGGAATAAACTAAAAAGCAAATTCTACTTTATTAATATAATACAAAAAAATTGAATATAAGAAAAACTCAAACATCCAATAAAAGCATAAATGCCTGATATAATAATGTAATTGGATGATCTGAACTGCAAATATCCTAAGTTAAACACATTATACAATAATACAATATAAGTGATAGCTCTTTCAAATACCTTTTCCCCATTCCCAGACTGAGCACCTGGTCTCGGACTCTATGACATTTTTTAAATACTTTAATCCTAACACATATAACAAAATATTGTAATGTTTCTTTTTCTGCATTTGGAGATAAAATTTTAAAAAGGTAGGACACTTCAAACTTAACGGTTTTATATTTTTATTTCTAGCATAACTCTACTTATTTCATACCCATACTTACTGCTAAGTGAATGAAATAATAAATTAATGCATGTTTACCCTTTATTGCTAAGTAATGATTACTTGTACAGACATAAAACTGTAGAGTTTCTTATGAGAATTCCTATTTAAAAAGGTGAGAACTCAGAATCCACACTGACAAAGACTGGTGAGAAAACACCAAAGACTGATGATCATGTACAGCAAGAGGAACTCTCCTTTGCTGCTGGTGGGAATGCAAAATGGCAGAGTCATTTTGGAGGACAATCTGGCGGATTCTTGCAAAACTGAACATATCTTTACCATATGATCTAGCAAGCATGTTCTTTGGTATTTACGCAAAGGATTTAAAAATTTATGTCCATACAAACCTGCAAATAGATGCTTATAGCAGCTTTACTTCTAACTGCCCAAATTTGAAATCATCTAGCATGTCCTTCAGTCTGTGAATAGATAAATTGACTGCTGTACATTCAGACAATGCCATATTATTCAGCACTAAAAAATAAAAGAGTTATCAGGCCATGTAAAGACAGGGAGAAAATTTAAATGCATATTACTAAGTGAAAGAAGGCAATGTGGAAATGCTATGTATTGTATAATTTCAACTATGTGATATTTTGGAAAGGGCAAAATTATGAAATAAAAAGATCAGTGGTTGCTGGATGTTTGATGGGGGAGGGAACAATGACAAGGCAGAACACAGAGGATGTTAGTACAGCGAAAATGCTAAATGGAAAATTTCAGAAATAAACAATTGATAAGTTTTAGATTGTGTATTGTTCTGAGTAGTGTGATGAAATCTCACACTGTTCCACTCTTTTCTTTCTTCATTATGAGAGAATGAAGAGTGAGCACAGTATAAGATACTTTGAGAGGGAGAGAAAAACCACATTTATATAACTTTTATTATAGTACAGTTATGTTGTTATGATTGTTCTATTTAAATATTAGTTATTGCTGTTAATCTTTTATTGTACCTAATTTATAAACTAAATTTTATCATAGGTATGTATGTATCCTAAAAGGTATAAGAGAAAACACGTGATACATAAATTTCAGTACTATCCTCTTTTAGGCATCCATTGAGGGTCTTGTAGCATATCCCCTTTGGATAAGGGGAGGCTGTTGTACCCTATATACTAGTGTAACCATGGATATAGGTCCGTCTAATCACATGGAATGTACAACATTAAGAGTGAATTCTAATGTAAACTACAAAATTTTGGTGATGATGTGTTAATGTAGGCTCATCAATGTATCACTCTGCTGGGTAAAAGGGAGGGTTGGTAATGGGGGAAAGCTATGTAACTATGGTTAGAGGAAGTATTCATATATGGGAAAACTTTGTACCATTTTCTTAATTTTGCTGTGAATGTAAAACTGCTCTAAAACACTATTTTAAAAAAAAAGGAAGATGAAAAGCCAAATACATTGACCTTTGTCAGCCCACTTAAACAAACTTGGTGTTTTAAATCATTTTTTAAACACTTTTTATAATAAACTTTAATAATAAATACTAATAAGCTACATGAATTTTGGGTTTAGGATAAAATCATTTGAGTTATATAGAACATACTTGTGTACGTGTGTGTGTTTATGTGTATAAAGAAGAAAATAAAAGCACCATTTTGTGGCTTCTGAGAAAAGTTATCATTCATTATAAAATGATTAAGAATTTTTTTCTGGGTTAGTTTACACATGAATATTACACATTTTATCACTGAATATATTTCTTGTTTGCTTTCACAACCAGATAGTTAACATGTAAATATCACCTCAACACTAAGAATTATAAATTAATGTGGGCTGAGAATGCTTTTTCCAAGATCTTTTTTTTTCTTTTTTAATCATATAGTCTTGTAACCCATAACTATACTTCTGGTTATTATTATTATTTTTTAATTGTACGTCTCTTTCTATGCCAGTGTAGATCACTTGAGAGGCCAAGTTATTTATGTGAAAGTGAGAGTAGGAGTGGTTTCCTTAGCCACAATGTTCTGTCTAAAACTCTCAACTGCAAAGTGTACAATATAGTATTAATATATTCTTTCAAGTTGTTATACTTTATATTGGCATACATAGGAATACTCCGTTTCTTTCTTCATCGAGGTTTAGAATCCCAGCTTCTTCTCTTGTCACAAATGTAAGACATTTTCAGGGTCCTTTCTCAGTATTTAATACATGAAGAAACCATTTACCTTGCCAGTTTTTCACTTCCTGGAATAGAAGGACTCTAGATGAATTTGCCAGTGATAAACCTGCTTAGTCATCTAATACAGACATCTGTATTCTTGGACCTGAACTAAGACGTATTTTTGGCTGTTCAAAACTTTTGCCAAAATGATGAGTAATTTGCTGTCTCATTCTTCTGTGATTATTTTCCCTTGGCAAAAGCAACTTCCTATTCTTTAACATTGAAAAAGTTGCCAGGAAAGGGTCTTAAAGTATAAGTGAAATGATTAAATGGATGATGGCTTACCTGGGGCCTATTTGTTGATGCGTCATTTATCACCTTACCACAACATTTCATTAGTCCCTCACATGAGACGCAACTTACAGTTTTAACCACCAAATGACCACAAGCACGTATTTGTTTGCCCCGTTGGGCTGGTGGAAAAGCCTGTTAATAAGGCGAAATAACCTTGGGGCAGAAACTTCAGAGATAGCCAAATAATTTTTTAAAGGAATCTACATAAAACATGAATTTGATAGTATTCACTGAACCCTTCTGTGACTTGGGTAATGATTGCGTTCCTTAGATTAGTTGTGCATCCTGGATGAGTTCAGAAAGTAGCACCTGAAACTGGTCATTAGGTGAAGTCTGTGTGCCAGATGTCTTAATTTCCTCAAATCTGTTGCCTCCAAAACTTCAGCAGCTGAAATCCCAGACTCCGTACACTGTTTTTAAGTCCCAACATTCACCCAGTAGGTAGCTATGCAGAGATCTCCATCTCTTCCCTACTTGTTAGCAGCTGAAGTGTAGCTGTGAGACCTGGCTTCTAGCCAAAGAAGGAGGAGCTTATGGTTATCTTGAGAAGTAGTAGCAATTACATAGGAGCTGCATGTTGAGATTTAGAAAACTTCATTGGAATCAACTGATTAGAACACTGAGGTGAATAAGCTACTTAATAAGAGAGATCCAACTTCTGAAACTTCATCTATGCTACTGGGAAGATAGAAATATCTACATTCTGAGCAACTGCACTGCTCTGACAGTTATATGAATATTGAAGAGAAGGTGGTATTATTACAGTCAGACAGCTGGAGTGCTTTTTCACAATTAAGATGTAGTGGTTCTTGTTTAATTGTATCTAATTCTGCTCAATTTCTATAGGTTGCAGATGGTTGAAATGGTTACTTTTGTTTACTCAAACCTATATGATCTCGTATAGAGAAATAACTACTCTTAAGGGGTGAGAACTGCAGCAGGGAAGTTCTGAGTGATAGTTGTATAGTTGACAAATACCAGAATCAGGGTTTACACTTAGGGCTGTCTGGCATGAAATTTTATGACCTTTCTATATATACTTTTTTATTTTTCTGACATATTGTCATGCTAATGTATTCCCATGACTAAAACCTATAATTTTTGACACATACATACTGCCAGACATTGCACAACTCTGTGAGACTATAAGGTCAATTTGACAAGAGGGATGGATTCTGGAATTGTTATTCTTCAAATAAGATATTGTTGCCTCTTTTGTGAAAAACTAAAGTAGAAGGGTGTATTTAGTGTGTGTTTTACAGTGTGAAAATATTTAGGAAATAAAATGGGTGCCATTTATATTTCTAGGTATCATGAAGATGGGGTCTTTTAATATTAAACGATTTGTCTCTGATACCATCTCTGACATCAACTGAAAACTTAGAGCCAATGGGATGAAAAGAGCTGGGGGCTAGGACAGTGGATCTTATTTCTGTAAGCTTCTATTTAGAAACCTGTCTCAAAATAAGCCACTGAATGTGACTCAGCCCAGCTAGATCACAGAGTGGTGCAACTGTATGTTCAGCCTGTTATCATTGCCACCTTCGCATATACAGAAAGAGAAACTTCACAAAGGTATTTGAAACTGAGGCCTGAAAGGAAGGGAGTGGTAGGTAATTCATACTTTCATGATTCCTGCTTGATATATTCTTTCTCTCATTATAGAGTTAGTTCCATAGAGATACATCTATATCTAATCATGAGATTCTGGACTCTTAAGACTATACAGAATTTTTATGTGACTTTTATCTTGTATCCCTTGAAAAGGGGTTGCATGAATTTTGTGTGGAGAAAAGAAATAACATATAAATGATATGATCGTGAAAATATGTTTTGCCTCACACTGTATTCAAGCTTATTGAAATTAAATATGGTCATGTGACTTGAGGGTTGCAGGTGTGTTTTCTGTTGAACTAGGAAGTGGTCATGTGACTTGCTTTGGTCAATTACATGTGAGCACACATGATGTGTGCTTTTTATAAGTCAAGTTTACTTTTGCCAAGTTATTTTCTCTTTGCCACGAGATCAGTCTGGACCAAATTGGGGCTTTTCCGTTAAACTAATATTCAGAGTAAACACACAAAACAGAGACATTCTTGACACTCAGTAGACATGTAACTTGAGTGAGAAATAAGCTTTTATTTCACAAGCCACTGCTGTAGTAGGGTCATTTGTTGTAGCATAATTTAAGCTGAATGAAAGAAGAATGAAAGAGTAGTAATAAGATTATCAAATATTTAAAAATAGTATAAAAACTGCTAACTTATTTTTATAACATGGCCACAGAAGAAAAAAACTTCAATAAAATTCTTGTTAGTAAATGAAAGATAATTTAGTTTTGGGTTTGTACATTGTATATAGAAAGTATTGAATTGAAATAATTTGAAATAAAATCCATTTTCACAGCTAAAATTAGTAGCATTGCCTAACTGTATAACTAAATATATGTTTATCCTTAATGCTGATTTATGCAGTTTAATAAACCCATGAAAGATATAATACAGACAAGCACATTATTAAAAAATATGTTAGTTAATTCAATCTGCATATTACGTGATTTCAAGTAGGTTAATGTATACATGAATGTATTTAGCTCATGATTAATTTAATGTAACAGTTAACATATCTATAACTAATGCAATGCCATTACTTTTTTAAAGTGTTATATTCTAAAAATAACCTTATAAATTTTATTGCTGTATTTGAAACCTGCATGTAGAATATGATTTTTCCATAAAAATAATGATAATAATAATAATAAATGAATTATAAAAATTTCTAAGAGCTTCCTCTATTGCAGCCAGTGTTCTATGAGTCCCAAATGAAAAATTATGATTATCATTTTTTAACCAAAGGGAAACTGGGTCAGGAGATTACACAGAGTCTAAAAGACAGTGTAGGGATTTGGACTTAAGTAGTTTTATTCCAGGTCAATATTTCCTGACTATTCTCTCTCCCCACACATATGTAGAAAATTAATATAATTTTAGCGATATGAGTTTATGCATACACATACACATACATACATACAGCTAATCAATCTAATTTTAGCCTTCTGAAGACAAGGATATTTTCTTAGCCAGGATTATTCATTCCTTGCATTCTCTAAGAAACAGATTCTAAATGAAAAGCTTATGTGCTAACACTTTCTCCAGGTGTTGCAAAACAGAGAATAAGAGGGAAAGGAAACAGGTAACTAAAGAAGGAATGGGAGAGCGCAAATAAGAAAATAATGTTACTGAGCTAGACATTGCTTTGCAATAATTCAAATCTGTTAGCCTAATCACTTGAAACATCTCCATAGAAGATGCATGAAATCATTCTGTGCTGGAATAATCTATCTTGAGAAAAGGGGATATCAAATAATTTTCCAGTATCCCATTGGCCAGAGTCCCCTTTTTGGGCTTCTGTCTGACAGTCCCTGGATAAGGTGGAACCCCCATGTGTTCGGTCTGGTGAGAGTATGAGCAAAGTAGTCTCTCTTCAGTCAGTGGGAGAGGTGCTGGTGACAACTAGTGCTTTACATCCATGAAAATAGTGTAAGCTATTGTGAGGGCTCTTCAAGTCTGGAGTCAGGGCAAGTGGTGAAGGCCTGTATCATCTTTTATGATCTAGCATAGAAAAACACAGTGTTATTTCCAAAATATTCTGTTTATAGAAGTAGCTACAAAGGCCCATCCATATTCAAAAATAGAGGACATGGATTCCATTTTCTCAGTAAACTGTGGCAGGGGCTGGAAAAGCATGTGCAATTGAAAATATTTTTGAAAATTAAATTTGCCAATGTCTTGGTCAATTTTGTGCTGCTATACCAGAATACCTGAGACTAGGTAATTCATAAAAAAAAAAAAAGTTTATTTCTTATACTTCTGGAGGGCTGGAAGTCCAAGGTCCGTCTGGTGAGGACCATCTTGCTACAACATCCAATGGTGGAAAACAGAAGGAAGGGCAAGAGAACACAAGCAAGCGAGAGGCAGCCAAACTCACTTTTTTAACAAACCCACTCTCATGATAACAAACCAACTTCTGCAATAATGACATTAACCCACTAATGAGAGCAGGTCCCTCATAACTTAATTACCTTTTATTAGGCCCACCTTCCACCACTGTTGCATTGGAGATTAAGTTCCCAATGCACAAACTTTGGAGAACACATTCACACCATATCAGTCACATTGTCTTCTGGCCTCACCAAAAAAAAAAAAAACAAAACAAAAAACAAACAAACAAACAAAAAAATTTCTCTTATTTGCAAAATACCCTCACCATTGTTCCCAAACCCATCAAAGTCTTATCCTGTGACAACATTGGATTAGCCTAGAGGCTTGAAGATTTTGGTATCTAAATCAGGTCCAGGTGTAGATGATTCTTTTCAGTCTAGTATCATATCTCAGTGTAACTCTTTCAGTTATCAACCTTCTCATTCAGAAAACAAGCAGTATAACAAGACATGTATTTTTCCACATGCATCCCAACATATGCTGTTGGACTAGGTATAGGATATCTGCCATAGATACTTCCCAGCATAAAGGAGAAATATAGCAGGAACACTATAGTCAGTGACTTGGCCATGACAATCCTAAAATCCAGACATATGCTGTCAGTTCCTTGATTACAGTATAGCGCTATGGAGAATTATAGCTTTGGAAATATTCTCCAAATTCTTGACTCAACCCTCTGGACCTCTCTTTTACCATCTCAGTTATTCTTTATTTTATATAAAAGTTACCCCCAATTTGTAGTTCAGTATTTTTATCATCCTTCTTGTTGCCCACAGAAATATGAGAGTCCAAAAGCTTCTCCCCATTTTGAGCTGTCCTGGTCCTGTTAAGTCCAACTAATACAATTCATTTGAAAGCTATTTGAGTTGTTTATGAATGAGTAAATAATCTGTAAAAGGAGTTAGCATTTTTTTCTGTAAAGGTCAGAAAAGAAATATTTCTCTTTTTGCAGCCATATGTTCTCTGACACAATTATTCAGCTCTGTGGTTGTAGCATGAAAACAACCATAAACAATATGTAAATGAAGGTATGTGGCAGTGTGTGAATGAATTTTTACCTGCAGAAATATTCAGTGAGCTTGATCTGGCCTTTTGTTTATAGTTTGCTGATGCCCTCGTCCACCCCTAGCAATTACATTAGACATAAGTCATTTCCACTGAACTCTTTGAAATAAGTCCCTTCTTGTTTACATCCCTGTTAAACTACTGTATGGCAATGTCCTTAAATTCAAAGGAGCTTTATTATTTAAAAGAGAGGATTTGCAAAGAACAGCCCTATGATTCTCAGAGGGCCTTTTGTCTGTTGGAAAGTCTTTTGTATATGTAAAACAGTCTATAAACCACTGCCTTAAATATTTCTGAGTTACTGGCTACAGGTTTTTGAATAATAACCTTGGCTTCATTTTTCTGTACCACCCAAATCAAGGGGAGGGAGCAAGGCCTTGGATTTGGTTTTATATGAAAGTAATTTCTTAACTATAGCATCATTTGCCTTTTTGAAAGGCAGGAATTGTGTTAGAGTTCACTTTTCTATCCTAGCAATTTTGAGTTCCTTTATATTTAATAGTTTTATCTTCATCATTCTTTCATTTCTTGGTATAGTTTGCTTTGAAAGCCAGTCAACATATTGTAAAAGTTTTGAGGCTACATTGAGAAGCCTCATAAAGGTGTTTCAATGACAGTCTCAGCTAATGTCCCTACTGACAACACCAAATCCCTGCCCAAGTGATTAGATATTTCCAGTCTCTGGCCTTTGAGGCCTCTAGCTTTTGCAGAATAGAGCAATGATAAGCCATCCCTACTGAGTTCTTCCAGGATTGCATATTCATTAGTAAAATAAATGTTTCTTTAAGTCATTAAATTTTGGTATTAACTTTTTAAGCTGCAACAGACAAGTAGACCAATATCTAACTTAAAATATCGGTAAAGATCTCCTCATCAATTTCCCCAAATGAATTAATATTGACAAACTGTAAAAAAAAATTTGGAGTTTCCTAAAACACAAATTCTTCAGGCAGTTAATCCTTACAACACAAAAAAGTTACATCTTCTAAGAAAACTTGCTTCCATGTGGAAATTGGAATGTTCTTTTATTAGCTTGCAGGAAATTGTGCATGATTCATTCACTCAGCAATGTGGTATCAACTGACTGAGAGATTTTAATAGTTTCTTGATTGTAACATATTGAGCACTATCATGGGCCTTAAACATTTTAAAGTTAACTTTGTGCTTTATAGATAATATGTTCCTAAATTTTGGAAGAGTTTACTCCAATGGGTAATTTAGCTAGCTTATTATTTTTTACTGTTTAAACTTGTAAATCTGTAAATTGTTACTCTGTAGGGTAGTTATTTCTGAAACTGAAATAAACCTATGTCCTCTCCAAGGAAATGTTGTTCCTCACAGAAAGAATATGTTAGAGTAAAATGAACCTCTAACCTTTGCCAAATTATATCAAGAAAACTATCTCCACTGAATTTTTTATATTTCAATGGTGGTTCAGATTTTCCCTCTGACTTGCAAGATACTATACAAAGTAGAATTTACTTCCATTACTCAATTTAATTCAGAAACTAAAAAGCACAGAACCAGGAATAAATCACAAATAATGATAATTGAAGACAATTATAAAGCTCTTGTTGTTTCCTGGGAATTGTTCTGATTCCTTTATATCCACTTAGAATATTTAATCCGCTGCAGTTGCCTATGAGATAGGTTCACTCATAATCCCCATCTGACTGATGAGGAAACAGAGGTATAGATATATCAAGAAACACAAAAAGGGTCATTTGACTAGGAAGTGGCAGAGCCAAAATTCAGACCACATTTTCACTGATTTGGGAGTCCATGATCTTAATCACCTAAGCCTGCTTCGGTAATAATCCCTGTACCTGCATCTGTATTATGTGATATGGTTTGGCTGTGTCCCCACCCAAATCTCATCTGGAATTGTAGCTCCCACAATTCCCATGTGTCATGGGAGAGACCCACTAGGAGGTAATTGAATCATGGGGGCAGGTCTTTCCTGTCCTGTTCTTGTGATAGTGAATAAGTTTCAGGAGATCTGTTGGTTTTATAAAGGTGAGTTTCCCTGCACAAATTCTCTCTCTATTGTCTGCTGCCATGTAAGATGTTCCTTTCCCATTTTGCCATGATTGTGAGTCCTCCCCAGCCACATGGAACTGTGAGTCCATTAACCTTTTTCTTTATAAATAACCCAGTCTCAGATATGTCTTTATCAGCAGCATGAGAATGGACTAATACGTTATGGTTTACATTCTTTAAACATTTGTCATTATTTATTTTCATTAATATTTTAAGAGAATCATTTGAGACAGCTATAACTTGAGAATTCCAGTATCTCATCTGCAGTATAATATGGAAATTAAGGCTCACAGTGAAGCTTTCACAGCATTGAATGGGGAATCTTGCTTGTTCAAACCAGTTTCTGGTTTAGCCATGTCTTCTTTTAACACATTCTCAGATCTGAGATTATCATGTTATTCTTTCTTTATTCAAATTATCGTTAAGCATTATTTTTCTTCTTCTTACAAACCAAACTTAAGTATACTAACGTCATTGCCTGCACATGCACACTGCATTTCATGAGCTTTTAAAAGAGAAAAGTTTCTCTTTATCACAAAAGTCTTGATGAATCACAAAATGTCTTTGGCATTTATTGTCAAAACTCATCTTTATGACATTTTGTCTTGTTTTCACTTGATTTTGAGAAAGAGGGGCACCACGTATTTGCTACTTAATGAGTTACAAATAATGTCATAAAAATCTCCTTCTAGCTGTCTGCATATTTCATTAATGAGATGATCATTAAGTGAGCTACACATTTGGTCATGCTACTGTTTTATTCAATGTTGATTAAATTAGAAAATATGATAATTTTTGCATATCATAAAATTATGTATTTGACAGTGTACATTGAAAAGCCACATGAAAATTTTGGCTGACAGTCATAGCTAATGTCCCTACTGACAGGCCCAACTTCCTGACCAAGAGTTGAGATGATTCCAGCCTCTGGCTATTCTGGTGAGGGCTGAAACAGAAGAGGAGAACTAGAGAGAATGCTTTCATCTTCTTAGAGAATATTTAAGTAATCACGAACAGACTGTTGATAGAAATGTAGACATTTAAGCCCATTCTGGTGATATAAATGAGGGAAATGAAGAACATGTTATTAGACAAAAGTCACTTCCACTGATCTATTTGAAATGAGGCACTTCCTGTTTGCATCCCTGTCAAGATGCTGTAGGGCAATGTCCTTAAATCCAAAGGATGTCTGCTATTTAAAGGAGATAATTTGCGAAGCACAGGCTTAAGATTTTTAGAAGCTTTTTTGTCGGTTTGTAACAGTCCTTTCTCTACGTGATGTGGTCTATGAGGCACTGCCTTAAAGAAATATTTCTGAGCTCCTGGCTAAAGATTGTACAGTAATAACCTTGGCATCATATTTGTACCATCAAATAAAGGGTAGGAAAGAGTGCCTTGGATTTCATTCTGTATAAAAGTATTTTTTTAATTATAACATCATTTGCCTTTTCACAGGCAAGAATAAGAATTAAGTTTTCCATCCTAGCAATTTTTGGCTCCCTTATATTTAATAGTTCTGTCTTTAACTTACCTTTATTTTATTAAATGTTTGCCTTCAAAACCCACTTAACACATCGTGAGAGAAATTTGAGGGTACACTGAGAATAAAAAAAAATGGATTAGAATGTAGGTAGAAATATGGACATTAAAAGCTATTCCGAGGAGATTACAAATGGCAATGAAAAACATATTATTGGAAACTAGAGAAACAGTAACCTTTGTTATGAAGTGGCAAAGAACTTGACTGAATTGTGTTTATGTTGTAGCATTTCGTAGATGGCAGAACATGTGAGGAATTAAATTAGCTATTTAGCTCAGGAAATTCTAAAATAAATGTTTCAGAAATGGCTTGGTTTCTTCTGACTGCTAATAGTAAAATGTAAGAAGAGAGAGATAAATTGAGGTAAATTGTCTCTATTTTAAGTTCTTTGAGAAGTCTAGTGTGAGGTGGTATTTTATTGTGGTTTTTGATTTGCATTTCTCTAATGATTAATGACATTGAGTATTTTTTCATGTGTTTCTTGGCCACAAAAATGTCTTTTATTGAGATATGTTTCTCATGTTCTTTGTCCATTTAATAGAGTTGTTTGGTGTTGCTTGTTAATTGTTTAGGTTTCTAATAGATTTTGAATATTAGACCTTTGTTAAAGCATAGTTTGCAAATATTTTCTCCCATTCTGTAAGTTATCTATTTATTATGCTGATAGTTGCTTTTGCTGTACAGAAACTCTGAGACCACACTTGTCAAGTTTTGTTTGTTGGTTTTAGAATTGCTTTGGAGTCTTAATACATCATAAAATCTTTGCTAGGGCCTACGTCCAAAATGGCATTTCCTAGGTTTTCTTACATGGTTTTTATACCTTTAGGTTTCACAGTTAAGTTTTTAATGCATTGTAAGTTGATTTTTGTATATTGTAAAAAGAAGAAGTCCAGGTTCACCCTTCTGTATACGTCTAACCCATTATCCCAGCACCATTTATTGAATAGAGAGCCTGTTACCCATTGCTTTGTACTGTCAACTTTGTAAATTATCAGATGGTTGTAGGTGTGTGACTTTATTTCTGGATTGTCTAACCAGTTTCATTGGTCTACATGTATGTTTTTGTACCAGTACCATGCTGTTTTGGTTATTATAGCTTTGCATTATAGTTTGAAGTAGAGTTGTGTGATGACTAGCTTTTTGCTTTCTACTTAAGATTGTATTGGCTCTTTGGGATCTTTTGTTATTCCGAATGAATTTCGGAACCATTTTTTTCCTAATTTTGTGAAAATATCATTGGTAGTTTGATAGCAATAACATTAAATCTGTAAACTGCCTTGGGCATTATAACCATTTTAACAATATTGATTCTTCCTCCTCATGAGCATGGAATACTTTTCCATTCACTTGTGTTGTCTCTGATTATTTTTTATTATTATTAGTGCTTTCTAACTCCTATTGTAGATATATGTCACCTCCCTAGCCAGGCATGTTCCTAGGTCTTTTATTCTTTTTGTGACCTTGGGAATAGAATTGTATTTTTTATTTGGCTGTCAACTTGGATGTTGTTAGTGTATAGAAATGGTATTGATTTTTGTACACTGATTTTGTACAGTAAAACTTTGCTGAAGATTTTTTCTTTTTTTATTAGATATGGGAGTCTTTGTGAAGAGACTATGCAGTTTTCAGGTGTAAAATCATATTGTCTGCAAATACAGGTAGTTTGACTTTCTTTCTATTTGGATGCCTTCTATTTCTTTCCGTTTACAGATTGCTCTGGCTAGGACTTCCAGTACTATGTTGAATAGGAATGATGAGAATGAGCATACTTCTCTGGTTTCAGTTCTCAAAGGAATGCTTCCAGCTTTTGGTCATTCAGTATGATGTTGGCTGTGGGTGTGTCATAGATGGCTCTTATTATTTTTAGGTACATTCCTTTAATGCCTCATTTGTTATGGATTTTTAACATAAAAGGATATTCCATCATATTTAAAGTATTTTTGTGTCCATTGAGATAATCATATTGGTTGTGTTTTTAGTTCTCTTTATGTGATAAATCACATTTCTTGATTTATGTATGTTGCACCTACCTTGCATCCCAGGAATAAAGACTACTTGATTGTAGTGGATTACCTTTTTGATGTGCTGCTGGATTTGGTGTGGTGGACTTTCTTTGAGAATTTTTGCATCTATATTCATCAGGAATATTGGCCTGAAGTTTTTTTTTTTTATTTTTTCATTGTGTCTCGGCCAGGTTTTGGTATTTGAAAGATGCTGGCCTCAGGATGATTAGGAATACCCACTCCTCAATTTTTTGGAATAGTTTCAGTAGGGTAGGTGTCAGTTCTTCTGTATGCATCTGGTTGAATTCAACTGTGAATCCCTGTGGTCCAGAGCTTTTTCTGGTTGGTATTTTTTTTATTACTGATTCAATTTTGGAATTCATTATTGATCTGTTCAGGGTTTCAATTTTTTCCTGGTTCAATCTAATATATATATATATATATTTATATATACATACATATATATATGCACACACACACACACACACATATATGTATATATATAGTGTTTTGTTTTTCTTTTTTGAGACTGAGTCTCACTCTGTCACCCAGGCTAGAGTGCAGTGGTGAGATCTCGGCTCATGGCAATCTCTGCCTCCTGGGTTCAAGTGATTCTTATGCCTCAGCCTCCTGAGTAGCTAGAATTACAGGGATGCACAATCATACCCAGCTAATTTTTATTATTTTCAGTAGAGATGAGGTTTCACTGTGTTTCCCAGGCTGGTCTTGAACTCCTGACATCAACTGATCCACCCATCCTGGCCTCCTAAAGTGCAGGGATTACAGGTATGAGCCGTAATGCCTGGTACAATCTACTTCTATGTTCTTAAAGGACAATTTTGCTGGGCAAAGTAGTCTTAGCTGGCAGGGCTTTTTTTTTTTTTAAATTTTAGTGCTTTGAATATATTATCCCACTCTCTCCTGGCCTGCAAGATCTCTGCTGATAAATTACTGAGAGTCTAATAGACATTACTTTCTGTGTGGCAAGTCATTTTTCTCTCACTACTTTCGAAATCCTCTGTCTTTGATTTTAGAAATTTAATAATAACATATTTCAGTGTTGGCTTTTTTTGAGTTGAACTATTTGTAGATATTTGGGCTTCCTAATATTTTGATATCCATTCATTTTCTTTGATTTGGGACATTTTCATTCATTATTTCTCTACATACCTTCTCTGATTTACTTTTGAGACTTCTGTAATATATTATTTGTCTGCTTTATGGTGTCCCATCAGTTCTGTAGCATTCTTCACTTTTTTGAATTCCTTTGTCTCTGTTTTTCTAATTGAGTAATTTGAAAACACCTGTTTGATTTTGTTACTTTTTTCTTCTGCTTAATAAGGTCAACCATTGAAACTCTCTTTTGAATTTTCTGGTTTAGTCATTGTATTCCTTCATTCCAGGATTTCTGTTTATTTTTTCTGATTTCTATTTCTTCCTGAATGTTTCATTTTGTTCATATATTTTTATAATATTTTCAGTTGTCTCTGTTCTCTTGCAGCTCATTAAACTTCTTTAAGATGATTATTTCACATTATTTGTCAATCACTTCATGGGTATCCGTTTCTTTAAGGATCAGTTATTGAAGCTTTGTTAGTTTCAATTTGGATGTTGTGTTTTATTGACTCTTAATGATTCTTGCATTGTTTCTGTAAATTTAAAGGAGAAAACTTCCCTTTCAGTTCTTATAGACTGGATTTGGCAGGAAAGGATCTTCTGCAGTGAAGCAGGGCTGGACCTGGTCATGGAGCTCTAGTAGGTTAGCAGTTGGTGAGCCCGTTAAAAGCCTCATCTATAAATAGATGAGGCTTCTGCCATGTCCCAGGATGCACAGTACTTCCTCTGAGACCATGGACATTTGGAAATGGAAGCAAATCCACAAGCAAAATGGGGATGCTTCCAGGTTTGGAGCCAAGTCTTTGGTGGTATACCTGCTACTGGGGCATGAACTTGCCTTCTCAAGAAACTTTCCTTGTCTTGAACCTCATTGGGTTTTGATTACCTCTTACTTAGGTCAAAAAACTTCCAAAAGGTTTCTACTTTTGCTTGTGGATAGTTGCCAAATTGTTGTTTCCATAGGTGGGTAATAACCTGGCTTGTTCTTATCTGTCATCTTGTTGCCTTGTTTCTCAATTTTAAAGATGATTGGTTTTCAAGCTATTTGCAGGTGTGTATAATGACTTTGAATGCTTGTAATATGTCTTGTGTGGCACCAGGGATGCTAGAAAAAATTCTAGATATTTAAGAGTTCTCCAAGTTAAAGTAACTATTAGAAAGCTACACAATGAACACTGTCAGCATATTAAAAACAATTGCTAAATATGAGGATATGCAAGAGTGTCTGATAAATTTTTTCCAAGAAATTTGGGAAAAAATTCAGAAACAAAGTAACATTGAAAATTGCATTGATATATTTTAACAAACTTTCAGGTTGAAAGAATAACATTCCATCAAGAGCAAAGGAATTAATGTATTAAAGTGAACAGCATTTTTGGAGTATGGTAAGATATCACAATAAATTAAATATGGATTGAAAGAGAAGAAATAGTAATTTATTTAGAAAATTTTGTTTTAAGAGAAACTTTATGGCATCTTTCATTAGTTTTGAGTATTTTGTTTGTAAAACTCAGCTTGAAGAAGGATCCAAATTCTAGAAACTTGTTACAATAAGTTGAAATTTTGTCTTAGAGTGTCACCAGGATTTCCCTTCTCTCTTCTTCTCTTCTTTCTGTTTGTTCCAAGTTTTCATCATTGTCTTCAAATATGAATATTTGTAATTTAAACTGCAGAAAGTCTGATTCTATAGTGTGAAGTGAAGTGATCAGGATCATTTTGGTAGACAAAATAATGTCCCACCAATGATTATCATGTCCTGTACTCTGCAACCTGTGTTTGTGTTACCTTACATAGCCGAATGACTTTGCAGAGATGGTTTAGTACCTTTAGATAAGAAAGTTGTCCTGGGATATCTGGAAGAACCCAGTGTAATTAAAAAGGTCATTATAAAAGGTAAGCAGGATGGGCAGAGTTAGAAAAAAACAATTTAATTATGAAAGTGGGATAAATTTGGAAATGCTATACTGCTGGCTTTGAAGATGAAAGCACATGTAACAAGGAAAATAGGTGGCCTTTAGAAGCTGGTTAAACCAAGATTCTCCTCTAAAGCCCCCATTAAAAGAATACATAACCCCACCAATACCTTGATTTTAGAAATATGACCTCCATAATAATAAAATTACATATTTGTGTTATTTTAAGCCACTGAGCTTGTTATATTTTATTTCAGCAACAATCGGAAACTAATATAATTATTAATTTTAATAAGTCCCACCTCATATGATCCTGATATATGTAGTCTAAAGACCATTCTAAGAATCACTAGAAAATTATAAAACATTCTCATAGGTCAGAAAATCAATTCCCAGAGACTGGTCGTATTAAAAACAATAGTAAGCCTGCTAAATACCGGGATTCCTATGCAGCAACGAAGTCATATAGACAAATGTGAATAGTTTAGAGAATTATTGAATCTTGAACATTTGAATGCAAATATTGATTATTAAATCAAAAATTAGTTCTTTTTTGAGTAATATCAAGCTAGCAATCAAAGCTAGGTATAGATTAAAAGCTGAAAAAGGTAGAAGGTAAGGGACTATTACCAGAGTTCAAGAAGGCCTGAGGCTTGCATTAGTGACAAGTATAACTTCGATAAAATGCATTTGATTAAATATTTTAAATTTTTATTCAGCCCTGGGGCAATTAATTGGTTAAATAAAATGTAATGAAGAGAAACAGAAATGACTTTTAGATTTGTGGTTGCAATTGTTGTATAGCTAGTGAAGGTTTTCGCAGAGAAAGTATATGTGGAAGACAACTGAGGCTTTTCATTTTTATTTTTTGTGTTCTATTAGGTAAATATATAATTTAATTAGACAATGTGCATGAAAAATTTGAATTGACTAATGTTATAAAAATCTTAGTGTTTATTTTAAAATCAGTGAACCACAGAAGAGAGTTCTGGAGTTAAACATTTAAGAGTTTGGCAAAATATTGATTGTCCTTTAGTGAGTTAAAAATATTATTTTATCTCTTATACCTTTACAGTTTTGGATAAACTAATGGTGAGGAGGACTCTGGCAATACAAAAAAACAAGATGTGGGGAAATGATTATTTGGGGTATAATTAGTAGGAAAAAATATGTAGCCTAATTTCTAAGATGGAAAAATATTTAAATAACTTAATATGCACAGTGCAAGTCAAAATATAACAATGGATTATATGGAAATATAAATATCTTTATTGCACACTAATGAATTCAACAATATAGGAGACCTCAGAATGTTTTGGCTAACCATTTATTATTGACCCAGAGAAAGGTAAATGGAGATATATATTCACACTAAGCATTCTATAAATTTATTATCACTTTAGCTGACAAAGAGTATGCTTAATTTGCAAGGCATCAGAGTTCAAAATTTGTCATTTATATTTATCTATACATTATTTTAGTGTTTATTGGCATTGCACATATTGACCTTGAAGATTAAAGAAAACTCCATATGTTTTTACATATTTTAATGGATCTGAGTGAAGGAACTGAATCCAAATAATTGCATATAACAGCAAGCAGCTGCATTAATTCAAGATAATGTCTGTGATTCACTCTACATTATCAGTTTCTATGCTTGTCAACAGAGAAAATTATAGGCCTGAGGCCAATTCATGGTTATGCATTACTTTCCACAGTATTATTAATGCAGAATTCCACAGTGCACATACTACAGATTTTGTTATTAATGGAAGAGAATAAAATAAAGACATTTATTGTAATTTGTATGATTAGGACTCATTGCATACATTTTTAAGTTTATGTTGATGGGAACTACTGCAAACTCATGGGAGTTTTAGTGGTGCTATCTCTCATGCAAGTATTAACTAACGTGGATCACATATTTTATTCTTTATGTTCCCAGTGCCTAGTCCTTAATTTCGGAGATAGTAAGTGCTTAATAAATGTTTATTTGATGTATGCATTTATTCTAATTGGCCATTGGAAATATGTAATTTTTAAAATCCTTTGGCACTTCCTGAGAAAATGATACAAATTTCCATTACTCTCCCTTTCTGCCTAAACAATCTTTATTTCCTTCTATCTCAGATGATTGCTTTATAAACGACTGGAAATAGGGCTATGACATAAACGCTGATCTGAATCCCTAATTTGTACCTCAACAATACTCCTGCATCATTAAGTGTCTCTCATATCTTTAAAAATAAAAGGTTAGGCAGGGCGTAGTGACTCACGCCTGTAACCCCAGCACTTTGGGAGGCGGAGGCGGGTGGATCACGAGGTCAGGAGATCGAGACCATCCTGGCTAACACGGTGAAACCCCGTCTCTACTAAAAATACAAAAAATTAGCTGGGCATGGTGGTGGGCACCTGTAGTCCCAGCTACTTGGGAGGCTGAGGCAGGAGAATGGTGTGAACCTGGGAGGCGGAGCTTGCGGTGAGCCGAGATAGCGCCACTGCACTCCAGCCTGGGCGACAGAACGAGACTCCATCTCAAATAAAATAAAATAAATAAATAAATAAAATTAAAAGTTTAGGCTGCTCCGATCTCCACTTCTCCAGTATTTTTCACCCTTGCAGACATCTCCTATCTCTACTCTTTAATAGTTCTATCAGTGCTGCACCAAACTTCTACAAAGCCCTCCTTTATTTATGACTACTTAGTACACCAGTCTTCATTCCATTTATTTCTTTCTTTTTCTTTTTCTTTTTTTTTTTTTTTTTTGAGTTAGAGTTTTGCTCTTGTCGTCCAGGCTGGAGTGCAGTGGCGCTTTCTCAGCTCACTGCAACCTCCGCCTCCCAGATTCAAGCGATTCTCCTTCCTCAGCTTCCTGAGTAGTTGGGTTACAAGCGCCTGCCACCATGCCTGGCTAATTTTTGTATGTTTAGTAGACACAGGGTCTCACCATGTTGGCCAGGCTAGTCTCGAACTCCTGGCCTCAGGTGATCCGCCCACCTCGGCCTCCCAAAGTGGTGGATTACAGGCTTGAGCCACCACGCCTAGCCCATTCCATTTCTTAAAACACCAAGCTCAGGATCATTGAATATACAGATTCCACAGCTGGAAACTTTCTCCCTACAGCTCATTCCATGGTTGCCTTCTGTTCTATCTTTAAAATTTCCAGCTGTGTCATTGTTTTCTGTGGTTTGAGTGTGTCCTTTCAAAAGCATGTATTGGAAGCATAAGGGCTCTACTGTGAATGGAATAATGCCATTATCTTCAGAGAGGATTCCTCATAAAACAGTGAGTTTGGTTCCCTTTTGTCTCTTTCCCTCTCTTGCCCTTTCACTTTCTGCCATGGAATGCCACAGCAAAATGACCCTTATAAAATGCTGGCCACTCAATCTTGGGCTTCCGAGACTTTACAACTGTGATGAATAAATTTCATTCACATATACATTACCATGCCTCTTGTATTCTGTTATGGCAGCATAAATCGAATGAAGACAATGTTGCAGAGAGATATATGTTAACCACCCATATAAAAGTAGAATTTCATTTCTCAAAGTTTCACACCTTGTTCTTTTCATGTGCTTTTTATTACCTATTAATATCCAAAATACGCTGTTAATTTGTGATTTGACTGTTTTCTGATAGATCTTAACTTTCATGTAAATTCCATTAAACTACATGTGTTTTTCACATTGTTTGCCACTGAATCCACAATTTCTTGAATAGAATCTGACTAAAAGTTCTAGAGTAAACATTTCTGAATGAATACACCTCAGGAAGACATCACCAATCTTGCTACATATTCACATTTTACCTTATCTGTTTAACGCATAGGAATCATATAGTAGTAAGGTAAGAAAATGTTTTTAAGATCATGTGTTAAAAATTCCAAATATGTTTGGATCCATCCTCTCTATTACTAATTCGTTAGTGGTCATTCAGGTTCTACATGATTAAATCATGCGACTAGAAACTCACAACCTTATCAAAGTGTTCGTTTTATCACTATTTACAAATCTCTTTAAAGGATAGCGGCAGTCTACTCCTAGAGATCTGATTTCTGACCTCCCCCAAATACTAGAAAAAGAAAAAAAAAGGAAACCTCTCACAAGATGTTCATGTTTCTCATCACTCTTGCAGCAAAAGTCATGATAATAAAGCCTTTTTACCCCAGGTCCTTCAATCATTGTGCTTTGCTCATTTTCCTTTGAGCATAGCACTACTTTTCATTTGATTAGGTCTTTTTGTTCAAATCTAGGTGTTTTTAAAGATACTCTCCTCTCTCCACTTCTCATTTTTTTGTTGTTTGCAAATAGCTGTACTTCTTGTGGCAATCTTGTCCACTTCTACCACTGGCCACTGTCACTTTAAAAATGATTTCACAGTCAATATATCTTTTGAGTTTTCCTCATGAAATTATTTTAAGTTTTCTTATATAATTGATTTTTAGGAATTACAACCTGAATGTCTTGCTAGCATTGTCCAAAATTCTTAGTAAACTAGCTCCAGGATTATTAGAACAAATAAATTGAAGATGGCAGAGCATAGACTTAACTACTTTTGTATTTGGAAAACCTAGTCAAAACAATTTACTCTAACTATAAGAAATGGAATTTAAATGGGTATAATTGCCAATGATGATTAGCTATGTAGTATATGCCCTGAACTCTGTGAATAACTTTATATGAATCACGGGATTCAACTCATTGGAGACTCTGGCATTCACAATTAATAAACCGTGTTAGCTCATTCATTAGATATCAAAGAACTATAAAAACACTATATTTTCTAAAAGTTATGTATTTTAAAATAGTCTGATTTATGTTTCATGACAAGATTTTCTTTTAAAGGTGATCTAACAGCAATGAAGAAAGACGAAAAATGGATCAGGAGAGAAACGTGTGCAGAGAGACATAGGAAAAATAGATACGATGCTTAATGAACCTTTAAAAGTAGTTTATTTCCATAGAGTGATTACCTATCTTTTGTTAACTCAAAAAATATTCAAGGTTTCTGGTATTATATGAGTGTTTAGAGATTTTGTTAGGCAAGAATAGACCTCAAAATGGCCCATCATTATTCCAGTTACTTTTGAATCACTCTTATTTCCAGAGCCACTGCCTCATGCAAGCCAGCGTTTATCACTACCTCCCTCATCTGTTGCAATTCCAGTTTCCTGGCACCGAGTATCTTTTCTTCAACTCACCATGAATAAATAAATAAATAAATAATTAAATAAACATATATGTGTGTATACATACATTTATATATGGATATATATTTGGCTTAATTTTCTTTAAGTGTTAAAACATTTTATTCTCCTGCCTGAGCTATTGATTCATTACTTCCTTTATTTTCTTACCTAATTATGTCACTTTAAAGCCAGATACTCAGGATGATATATAATACATTAACATCCCAGTATTATTTCCTGCTATTCCTCTGTCTGTAACACATCAAAGCAAACTAGTTACTATTACATAGGTTGCTAATTCTTTCAGCACATATGATACTCTCTAGTATTTCCTGTTTTTTTCTACAAAGTCTTCAATTACATCTAAAATACCATTTCCTTGTTAACTCAAGTACATATGAATTCTGTACATTTTGAAAACATAACAAAGATTTTGTAATTTTTATAAGAACTATCAAAAGTTTCCTGATGTAAGTTTATCTAGATATGTGTTTTCTTTAATCAGTTGTAAGCTACTTGGGAAAAGTTATTAACTAATGTGCATTTATTCAAAATATTTATCCATAGCTCAATGGGAGCAGAAAACTATAAAACATATTTCAGTAATAATTTCATACAAAAGGCTCCTCTCATCACATAGTTTACCAACCATTTTTGGAGCTTATAATGAATACATGAATCCATTGTAACATAAGATACAATGTAATGGGCACAGTGAGCATTAATGCATGTATTATTTTGATTTTTTTTGTTTTAACTTATACATTGTAATTGAAAAATAATTTTGATTGCAGACTTTTCCATTTCCATTATTTTATTTTCTGCCTTACTTCAGTGTGTACTTAGCTTTTAAAAAATCTTTTATTTCCATGTAAAATATTTATATTGTAAATTCAAGAAAATTATCCAGTAGAACAAAGTCATATAACAAAATTAATTAACCCTTCACATTTAGCACCTATATTTAAGAAAATTGCTAAGTTCAAAATATTTGTGGATTTTCTTGTCTGAGTTAGGCTTTACACCTATTCCTTCTCATTCATAAATTTTATTCATGGCATTTCAGAAGAGATTTTTTATCAAATTACAGTATAGGAATTAGGTAAATGCATAATGTTTAGCAAAATGGATTATGCCTAGAAGTATTGAGATAACAAATACTTCTTCTAAAATGATAATTTACTGTATTTTGTGCATTCCTCGTATTTCTAGCTGGTCTATGACTCTGCTGCCAAGTCATCTGTAATGTAATTTCATGGAGAGTTAAAAGGTAGGAAAAATGGCACTGAGGTGTGTACTAAAAGAAGCTGTTTCTCCTTTGGCAGGCACTATATAAAAAGATGCCAAGCACAGATGGTAAAGATGTTCCTGGCTTCTACCCACTATCTTGACAATCCAAACGCAGTCAGAGATCACTGGAAAAGGGTAAATGCCGCATCTCCCAGCTGAGGCAGCAAAACCTCTAGCTGCTTTCTAAATGCTTTCTTCAGAACATCAGGTTCTTGTCCATTTGATTTTTGTTAACTTGCTGAAAGAATAAATTGAACAGAACTCTCTGAGTAGGATGAAAGGAAGGTGGGAGAATAATCTCAACACTCTTAGCAACAATTGTGTTGTAAAAATCACCATGGTATCTTGGCACATTCATATAGCTGAAGGAACTATTTATTTTGAAGGTGCATTTTATTCAATTCTCTGTCCAGTCCTCAGCAAGATAGATTAAAAATAAGGTTTATAAATTAATGACATGCTTTTATCATAATAAGGAAGTTTATCTTTTTAACCAAATGAATTCTATCCAAATAAGAGCATTCAAAACTGACACACTAAGTTTACAATAAATTGGTAACATGAGTGTGGTATCTAGTTTACTCACTAAGGGAATTTGAAGAAAAAAATAATTAATTGTTTTTCCTTAATTTCCAAAACAATAGCCACAATTCAATATAAAATAATTTTATAAGAGGACAGGTTTAATGAAGATCAAAGAGTTCTGGATTATTAGGGTTAATTGTAGTTCCTAATACAAATTTATTTTTAATCAAATAAGACAAAGTGGAACAAATGTGATAAATAGTCTCAATATAATATAGTCTACTTATCTATTGGATTTTTTTCCCTCACAAACTATATTTCAGTCTGAATTAAATTTTATTGAATTAGCTCTTGATATAAATATCTTAATGCCTTTGGTATTTTATTTGGGAATGCAACTTTTTTAACTTGGCAGGCAATAACACACTTTCTCTTATGTTTCTTCCAATGAAGGAAATTTGAAATATTTTTTGACTCAATAATTTTCCTTATTTTATGCATTCATATTGATTGATTAAAATTTTGAACTCTTATCTCTTCATCAGTTTACACATGTAAGTCCTTGTACTCGTATTTGTATTATTAAAATAATTTTCTGCAAAAATCTCCCTCTACAAGCCATTTAACATACTGTGAATGCACAAAATTATCTTCAGTGTCTATTAATTTCATTGCCCAAAGTCAGAATCATTGAATATATTTCTAAAATGACACTCCCCACTGTTCCATGATATGAATTTTGTGGAGAAGGAAATGCATTGGTTGGCTTATTCTGATTTTGAAACAGGAGAGTTCCCTGATCCTTCTTGGAGGACATGAGACAGGGGTGTGGCTCGCTTATTCAGTCACCGCCACTGCTCAAATCCCTTGCAGGAGTGGGAGCATGTAGATAGGCAGGTGCAGAGGCTGGGACAATGCTTTGGGCTCCAGCTCAATGGTAGTGTCTAGGCGTGGGTGCCTGCAAACCCAATGTTACAATGCTCTCTTAGCCTTGTCGTCTGTAGATGGCTTTAAGTGTTAATCAACTCGATGGACTCTCTGCCTTTTTGCAAGGGCAGAGGGCCATTGTGACAGTTTTCTGTATGCTGAGCTCTTGCCCAGCATCCCGGAAGAATCAGTTCACACAGGGCCTTGAAGGATGAATGTGTAGTTTTATTGCATGGTGGAAGTGGCTCTCATTGGGATGGATGGGGAGCTGGAAGGTGGATGGAGTGGGAAGATGATCTTACCCTGGAGTTGGGCTGTCTACCTGCCGAACTCCTCTCAGACTATCCCCAGCCAAACTCTTCTCATTGTTCAGACATTCCTCCTCTTTTCTCTTTCTCTACCATGTCATTCTGCCATTCATCTGCTTGTCTCATCTCCTTGTCTGCTGGTCTGCTCTGGAGACTGGAGTTAGAGGTTTATGTGGGTAAAGCATAGGGGGCGTGTGGGCCCAAAGGAAACTTTTTGGGCCTGAAAAAGGAATGCTTGTTCTCTTTTAGGACCGCAGCTGTCCAGGCTTGAGGGTGGGGCCTTTCCCAGGGAACTGCCCTCTTCTATCAAGTGTTCCTGTCTCCTGTCCATATCAATTTGATAATCCAAACACCTTATTTTTAATAAAAAAATGTCTGCTGGGGTATTTTAAATTACCTTTAGATTACTTATTATTTGAGTTTCTACATCATGCAGTAAGTTCACAGTTACTTTTCATGCATTACATTAGCAATAAGATCTGTTTACAGTCCTCCATGAGTTCTCCACTCTATACCACAAATATCTCTTTTCAATGATTTATATGACCCTAATAATAACTTCCAATTAATAGTAATGAATGCTATTTACAGCAATTACAGAGGAACAGTTATTGCATTAACAAATCAATTACAACAATGGAGTTCACTGAATCCATCATAACTACTTCCATTTGACCAGTTATTTAAGGTCAAATTCCAAATAGGCGAATACCAAAATCAGTTGCTGCTGGAATTTGTATAATATGTCTTTTACTCTGAGGAATTACTTTATTAATCCAGATTTAATGAGTGGATGGAAAAATGAATTCCTGAAGGATTTGGACTCTGAAACTTTAGAGTTAAGGTGAGGAGAAGGTTGAAGAGGAGGGAAATGTCTTAGTGATATCCACTTTCATACTCATAGCTTATATTACAGCACTGAGAAGGAGTAATTAGTGAAGAATAGAATCTAATTACATAAATTATAAGAAGGCTTTCTCTCATACCTTCTTTTCGTATGTACAGGCAAACTATAAATTTTGCAACCTCCATCACTCCTGTTGGATATCTGTTGTTAATGTTTAGCACAAGGGTGAATGGCAAAACAATTCAAAGGTGATTTGGGAAAAGAATATTCTTCAATTGTGCTGAATAACATGATAGAGGCTAGTAATATTAAAAACCGTTTTTTCTTATATTTGAGCTCGTTTCCATTCATTTTTATCATTAACTTGGTCAATAAACTTAAAAATCTATATTTTATTGAAAATAAATTGTATACCTCAATATAAATCAGTAGAAGGTTCAGTATGGTAATATATTTATGGATAAAATATTATTAATGATTTGAAATGACTGAGAATTATGAGTACTCATGTAGATTATTAAGCATATTCATGAATATAAAGCAATTTTCAGACTACTTTCAAGTCATTATGCCAAATGTTTTATCTTCTTTTTGGAAGATTATATAAAAATATGCACACATATATAGACATATGCAAATCCATACATAAATATTTATGAGTATGTATAACATTAAATATGTCATATTACATATACTGTATGTGTGTGTTTATAGAAGTGCATGAACACACACACACACACATCCTTGAAGCTTATACATTAAAAAAGATAAAGGTTGGTAGTTAAAAGCAGATTTTATTCTTAACTGTAATGTTTTGTTATTCTAAAAGGTGAAGTGTATTTGTTAATTATTAGTGTGTGAATGTAACAATTAAACAAATTATTAACTAAAATTATGTATAGAAAAAATAATTGATTGTTTGAGGATTTATTAATACAGGATTGGTACCAAATCATTAGTAGGAGTGTTTGAGGAAAGCTTATAATATAGTCTTTAAAAATATTTATCTTCTTTTTTTATACACCTCTTTAAAAAAAAAAAAAGAAAGAAAGAAAAGAAAAAAAAAAAGCTTTTTTTTTTTTTGAGACAAGGTCTTGCTCTGTAACCCAGTCTGGAGCGCAGTGGCAAAAGCTCTGTTCACTGTAACCTTCCCATCCCAGGTTCAAGCAATTTTGGTGCCTCAGCCGATATAGTAGGTGGATTACAGGCCCATGCCACCACGCCCAGATGATATTTGTTTTCTTAGTAGAGACTGAGTTTCACCATGTTGGCCAGGCTGGTCTTGAACTCCTGACCTCAAGTGATCCGCCTGCCTTGGCTTCCCCACAAGTGCTGGGATTACAGGCATGAGCCACCATGCCTGGCCTCTTAAAAATATTTAAGCCACCATACAGTTTCATTTTTTTCTAAATACTAAAAGTAATATTTCCACTACATTTTGTGTCAGTGATTTTACATTACAGTAATATTTTAAATTTAAGTTATTGCAATTTTTAAAGGTCATTAACACACTAATCTGTATCTAGACATCAATGGTCTTGAAACCACATTATAAAATAATAAAGCTAAAGAACATCTGTGTTGACAATTAAGCCTGATTAGATCAGATATATATACAAGTGTGTCCATACATTTAGTTGAAGAGAAATACAGAAGAGAAATAAGATGTAGTCAGCATATTTACAAAACTATGCATAAGTCCAAGTTGAAGTTGCTCGGGAAAAAAGCTGGGTATTTTCTATGATTCCCCCTCACATCCAATTAATCAAGCTTTTCGTTATTCTCCTAAATATTTCTCAAAAATCTGGATGTCTATTTATCCTTTCTTCAAATACACTCATTTCAGCTACCACCGTCATCCTATTTATAAATTTTACACAAGTCCTATCCTGTTTCTCTCCTGTCGGTTTTCCACACTGCAGCTAAAGTGATGTTCCAAACAGTCATTTTCATTATGTCATTGTGTTGCTCAGTGTCTTTTAAAGTCCTGATAGTTTTCTTAAAATAAAGTCCAAATTGTCTAACATTGCCCACAAGAGCATTTCAAACACAAATGCTGCTGAATGATGCACCCTCATATTCTTTTTTAATTTTAATTTCAATTTTATTTTATTTTTATTCTTTTTTTAAATTTTACTTTAACTTCTGGGATACATGTGCAGAACGTGCAGGTATACATATGCCACGGTGGTTTGCTGCACCTATCAACCCGTCATCTGAGTTTTAAGCCCTGCATACATTAGGTATTTGTTCTAATGCTCTCCCTCCCCTTGCTCCCCACCCCCTGACAGGCACCGGTGTGTGATGTTCCCCTCCCTGTGTCTATGTATTCTCATTGTTCAACTCCCACTTATGAGTAAGAACATGCAGTGTTTGGTTTTCTGTTCCTGTGTTAGTTTGCTGAGAATGATGGCTTCCAGCTTCATCCATGTCCCTGCGAAGGACATGGACTCATTCTTTTTTATGGCTGCATAGGAATAGGCAAAGACTTCATGACTGAAACACCAAAAGCAATTGCAACAAAAGCCAAAATAGACAAATGCGATCTAATCAAACTAAAGAGTTTCTGCACAGCCAAAAAAACTATCATCAGAGTGAACATGCAACCTAGAGAATGCAAGAACATTTTTGCAATCTACCCATCAGACAGAAGTCTAACATCCAGAATCTACAAGGAACTTCAGCAAATTTACAAGAGAAAAACAAACAACCCCATCAATAAGGGGGTGAAGGATATGAACAGACACTTCTCAAAAGAAGACTTTTATGTGACCAACAAGCATCCTCATATTCTTATGAATGATAAACACTCTGGCCATCCTGAATCTTTTACATCTCACTTAAATGTATGAGTTGTTTGATTTTGGCCCTTTGTGGATCTTGCTCTCTTTACATTTATCTTCACCTGGATAAGGCATAGTCTTCATCTGAAGTCTGCTTTCCCCTGGAATACTTTAGTTTTCTTGGTGCGTTTTTGTAACTAAGTGTTCCTATATCATTATATATTTCTCTTATAGCCTTTACCTCATTATTGACATATATATTTCTTTATTTCCTATAATGCAAAATTTGTGTCATGATCACTATTATATTTCAGACATAATACACCATGACACAAAACAAGGGCTCAGTACTATAGCCTGGCAAAATAGAAGCATTCAAAAAAGATTAATCAACCAATCAATCAAGTTAGAGTAACAAGGTGGCAAACCTTATAAGGAAATAAAACTTTCTCTCAATTATAAATGCACAATCACTTTCAATGAAGTAGCGAGTTTTATATTATCTTTAGTGTCCAAACAAAGGTAGCTGTCAAATTATGTGATTTTTTTCTATCCTACATCAATTTACTTAGTATTTTGCATGACTTAGAGACAAACATATTGTTTCTTTTCTATGGTGAATACCTTAACTGGTTCCAAAAACATTATATACTTTATTGAGTATAATTATTTTCTCTGTTAACATGTAACTCTAATGATTTCATTTGATTTTGTTAGTGTTTCTAAATATTATGGCTTTTTTTGTTTTGTGTAGTGATGTGGGAATTGGAATGAGACTTATATTTTAGTATTATACCAATTAAAACACTTGAGCAAAATTAGGTTATTGCTTGGATAAAGTAATAGTAAGATGAAATGCACAAAACCAAAAATAGCTGAGCAGGACAATATATAGATGAGGAAAAGTTTTTATTATAAGGTGAAAGCAGGGCATGAAAAGTATTGTCTGATGTTCGAATGTGTTTTAATGAACATAAGAGGACCATTAATATTCCACCATTGTCCATATAAAATACTATGACTTTGCAACATTTTATTTTTAAAAACTGGTATGTCTCTGTGGTACAGTTTTATGCTTTGATACATAAGTTGTACAATGATCAAATCAGGGTATTAAACATACACATCACCTCATACATGTTTCCTTTTTTGTGGTAAAAACATTCAAAGTTCTCTCTTCTAGCTATTTTGTAATACACAATGCTTATTGTTAATGATCATCACCCTGCTGTGGCAAAAACACCAGGTTTTACTCATTCCATCTAATTGTTTTGAAATAACGTGGTACCAATTGACCAACTTCTTCCCACCATCCCTTCCTTTCCCCTTCCCCACCCCAGACTCCAGAGGCCATTGTATTAATATCTGCTTCTATGATATCAACCGTTTTTTTTTTTTATAATTCCACATGAGTAAAATCATATGGTATTTGTCTTTCTGTGTCTGGCTTATTTCACTTAACATGATGTCCTACAGGTCCAACTGTGTTGTTGCAAATTGCAGATTTTTTATTTTTCATGACGGAATAGTATTCCGTTGTGTTAACTGTATTGCATTTTCTTTATACTTTTATAATTGTTGGACACTAGTTGGTCTCTTTGACATGCTGATTTTCTTTTTCTTTTTGGTTATATATCCAGTAGTGGGATTGCTGGATCATATAGTAGTTCTATCTGTAATTTTTTAAGAATCTGTATACTGTTTTCCATAGTGCTGTGCTAATTAACAATCCCACCAACAGTATGTGTTATTGTTTCTCCATATCCTCACCAATACTTTCTTTCTTTTGTCTTTTGATAAATAGCCATTCTAACTGGAGTGAAGTGATATCTCATTGTGATTTTAATTTGCGTTTCCCTGATCATAAGTGATGTTTAACATTTTTTTCTTAGCCTGTTGGCAATTTCCATGTCTTCTTTTGAGAAATGTCTCTTTTGTCCACATCCTCAGCAATGTCTGTTATTTTTTGACTTGTTAATAATAGCCATTCTGACTGGAGTATGATGGTATCACAATGTGGTTTTAGTTGCATTTATCTGATGATTATTGCTATTGAACATTTTTTCATATGTATTTTGGCCATTTATGCCTTCTTTTGAAAAATGTCTATTTGTGTTTTTTGTGCAATTTTAATGATGATTTTTATTCCTGTTGAATTGTTTGAGTTTCCTGTAGATCCTGGATACTAGTCCTTTGTTGGTTGCATAGTTCACTAGTATTTTCTTCCATTCTGTAGGTTATCTGTTTTCCCTGCTGATCATTTATTTTGTTGTGCAGAAGCATTTTAGTTTAGTTAAGTCTCATTTATCCATTTTTGTTTTTGTTGTATTTGCTCTTGAGGTCTTAGTTATGAACTCTTTGCTTAGGCCAATATCCAGGAGTCTATCTTAAATTTTTTACAGCATTTTTTTAATTCCAGGTATTATATTTAATTTTTAAGCCATCTTGAGTTAATTTTTGTATATGGTGAGATGTACGGGACTATTTTAATTCTTCTGCATATGGCCATCCAATTTTCTCAGCCACATTTTTGGAATATGGAGTCCTTTCTCCAGGGATAATTTGATTTCCTCTTTTCCAATTTAGATGCCTTGTATTTCTTTCTCTTGCCTGATTGCTGTGTTTAGGACTGCCAGTACTATGTTGACTCGGAGTGGTGAAAGTGGTAAAAGTGACAGTGGTGAAAGTGGAATTCTTGTTTCAGTTCTTAGGGAGAATGCTTTTAATTTTTCCCCATTCAGGAGGCTGTTGGCTGTGGGTTTGTTTTATATGGCTTTCATTACTTTGAGATATGTTTTTTCTACGCCTAGTTTGTTGACGGTTTTTATCATAAAGGAATTCTATATTTTATCAGATGCTGTTTCTGCATCTATTGAGGTGATCATCTGGATTCTGGTTTTAATTCTGTTTATGTAGTGCATCACATTTATTAATTTGTGTATATGTTGAACCATCCTTGTACCTTTGCAATAAAATCCAGTTGACTGTGGTATATTATCCTTTTGATGTGCTATTAGATTTTTGTTTAATGTCAGCCAGTCAACCAGTTTAATGTCACGGTCAACCAGTTTGGGTTCAAAAAGCAGTTCTCTTTCCAAGTTGGGTAGCTTGAGGCAAGTTATTTAATTTATCTAAGTTTCAGTTTCTACGTGTAATGAAGACAAAACCTTCTAATTCTAATTCATAGGGTTTCCAGGAAGAATAATTGAGTCAATATATATAAAATTCAGGTAAATAAGAATTTAATACATGTTAGCATTGAAACTGAGTTGCAGTGCACATTAAGTTTATCCATTTATCTTAACTAAAATTTCTGAACAAATAAATATTTTTTCTTAAACCGTATAAACATGTTAACTTGAAACTGAGTTATACAAAGACAGTTTCATATTTCTATGGACATTTTTCTATTAAAAGTCCATGGGCAAACACTTTAAAAATATTTCAATTGTCAACATTATAGAAATTAATTTTAAAATTACAACTACTGAAGTTTAAATTCTGGAGCAAAATAAAATGTACGTATTTATTCATTTTGCTTTGTTTCCAGAAATGTTCACTTCTTTTTAATACTGTTTGCTACAAAAATTACTTTCATTGTTATTTTTGTTTTCAAGAACTTCCTTTAAGTATGAGATTTATTTACCTAAAAAGACATATTTAAGGTAATAGCATTGGTTTTCTGGAAAAATTTAATATGGCTAGCTTTTACATAATGAAATATTTTAGAATGCTTTGAAAAAGGCACCAAGATATTTTTGCAAATTAGCTGCTGAACCAATTTACCCAAAATAATAAAAATGTTATTTCTATAAATTAGACAGATGCTGTCTTCATTTAAAAATTTCACCAACAAATGATTAAATTCACGGAAGTTTTAAAAATATGCACTTTAGACATATAACTATAAATAAAATTTAATAACAGAGCATAAATTTGTGTACAGTTACTTTATCAATTTTTTAAATTGAGGTATAGCAAACATAAAAAAAGGGCACAAATCTTACGTGAGAGGCTCAATGAATTATCAAAAACTTGATGTAACTATGCAACCACCACATAAATTTAGAAAAATAACAATAGTAAGACTATAAATATTTAATCACATTTTCCCAAAATAACTATAATATTTAAGTATACTTTTATGGATTCATTTTCATTCTTTTGAACTTTATGTGACTGGAATAATCTTGTATCTACTTTTTGCTTCTGATATGTTTCAATTAATATTATGTTGTTTCATGTAGCAATATTCCATTTATTTTCAATGTTATATAAAATTATTTAAGTAATAAGGCAATGCATTTTTTTCAATTTCCTATTGACTGTTTGACTAGTTTCCAGTCATAGTATGATTAAACATATCTACACATTACTTTTAATGCATTGATTACTGCATTACTGTTGGGTATATACCTATGAATGGAGGCATTTATGATCACTTATGTGGGTAATTTATTCTTAACAGGAGAGTTAGAATATTAACATTATTTCATGTCCATGCAACCATTTTTTAAGCCATTGTAGTGTATTTTCAGTGAGATATTAATTTAATTTCCTTAATAAGTAATATTTGAGAGCTTTTAAAATATTATATTTAATTGTATTATTTGTGACATTGTATTATTTGTATATTAATATACAAATAATATTAATAAATATTAATGAATATTAATCGTATTATTTGTGTTTTCTCTTGCCCATTGTACTCTTAGGACTTCTCTTTTTATTATGCATTTATAGGGGTTTTTCATATCTGAGAATAAACTCATTGTAAATTATAACAATTATAAATATCTTCTTACACTCCAGGGTTTGCACTTTTACTTCCTTGATGGTTTCAGTGGACAGATGCTGAGGTCACTTCCAATGATTTTTCAACTTCCAGGTGTCCATGCCTTTGGGTTACCCTTCCCTAAACTTATTTTTTACAGATAGAAAATAACAAAGCAGATGAAATGCTACTTGTTTGATTAGGTTATATTACATGGCAAAGAATTGAGATCTCTCTCCTATGATTATGTTATTTTGTAAGACATTTTGATTAAAGTGGAATCAAAAATTCTTATTAGCTTGATGAAGTGAGCAGCCACGTTGAAGAAGCCCACAGTGCGAGGAACAGTATGTGGCTTTTGTGACTTGAGAGAAGTTTCTATGAGTTATCCAGAAAAAAGCCAGAACCCTCAGTCATGCAGTTAGAAAGAATTAATTTTGACAACAGTCTGAATGAGCTTGTAAGAGGATTTTCCAAACTTCTGTGTGTGACAGCAGCCCAGCTAATATATTGATTGTAGACTTGTAAGCCCCTGAGTACAGCAGTTAGCTAAATTATGCCTGAACTTCTGATCCGCAGAGATTACAAATATGCATTTTGTTAAGTCATAAGGTTTTTGGTAATTTATCACATAATGATAGAAAACTAATACAATTATGATTTTTAAATACTAGTAGCTCTTATTTTTAATTCATGTCAATCTATAGTGCTTCCATTATTTTTCATGTTCTGTTCTGTGTCCTATTTAAGATGGTATTGGCTATTTCAAGATACTAGATACTTTTTCTTATGCTATTTTTAGAAGCTGTATTCTTTTGTCTTCTATTTTAAAATCTACAATCTACTCAGAATAGGTTTGGTGTATGATTGTTGGTAGCATTCATACTTTATTGGTTTTTTATATAGCAATTGATTTGATTCAACAGCATTATTTTAAAAGACTTTATTTTACACCACTCTAAAGGGCTATCTTTTCAGTGCATGAAGATCCATTTTATATAGGTCTCCTTTTGGAATCTTGAATTTATTTTATTGATTAATTTGCCTATTCTTGGACCTATAGCACTCTGGTTAATTCAGTATCTGTGTATTAATTATAAATTAATATAGAGTGGACTTTCTTCTTTATACTTGTTTTGGCTATTTCCCTAACTTTCATTTCCATATAAATCACAAGATCCATCTTGTGAACTTTCATAATCATATACACAATATGTACTTTATACATGACACATTTACAGTTATTTCCAATATGTTATGCATCCATAGATGGGCAATGCATGTTCGCTTTTGATAACACATAGCAGTTTGCTCTTAGTAGTAGACACAAAGTTAGTCATTGTCCTAACCAAAAGTTTTTTGATAAAACAAAAACCTCAAACAACAATAACAACAACAAAACACATCCATAGCAATGGGCAACGCATGTTCACTTTTGATAACACACAACAGTTTGCTCTTAGTCATAGACACAAAGTTAGTCATTGTCCTAACCAAAGGTTTTCTGATAAAACAGAAACCTCAAACAACAATAACAACCACAAAACACAAAAAATAGATGGAAAGAATAAATCGTGTAGAATAAGAAATAATAAAATTTATATATCGTATTTTGTCCTATAAGCAGAGAAAAAAAAGTAGAAAATAGCTTCAAAATGACTAACTGACACAACTGAAATTTCCGTAAGAAGTCAGAAGTGTGGCTTATTTGGTCTCAGAATCCAGTTGTCAACACTAAGTGTTTGAAACAAAGGTATTGCTTTCCTAATATTCACCAGTTTTATTCACAATCACTGATTCTTTTGTATCTTATACCTCAAAATTCCTGCTTTTATGTGTCTTAGAAGTATTCTAATGTTCACCAAAGGGGCAAAGTAGAAAAGTTTTCTCAAGGGCACTGCCATGGATTGGTGTCAGTGGTCTAATTTAGAGAGCAGACTGAGCAAAGTAGATGTGCTAAATAATATCTCTGTTCAGCCAAACCTTCTTCTATCTGGCAACACAACTGTTTTATTTGAAGTCAGGCTGATTGAAAATTAATTTTATTCTTATCAGTGTATTATCAGTATGACTGAGGGGAGATTACTGACATTCTTGCATTAGATGTAGGGCCTGTGCTTCCTCCTTCTGAATCTGAGTGGGTTCTTTTGGTTGCTTTGACCAATAGAAGTTATAATCTTGTCAGTTTTAAGGCCCAGGACTTAAGAGAATGACAATGTACATTTTCCTATATGTTGAAACTCAGCCTCCCTGCTCTGAGAAGTTCATATATACCAGTGAAGACACTTTTGAGTTTACCAGCTGATGTCTGAGGTGGTAGCCAATATAAACCTCCCAGCCATGTGAGTGGTTGGTGAACCACCTTCAAAGGCTACCCTCTGGCTTCAGTCAGCCTTCTCACCTGATGTCATGAAAAGAAAAGAAGCCTCATGAAATCTTTGTTAAATTTCTGACCCATATAATCACTGCTTTAAGCCACTAAGTCTTGGCATAATTTTTAACACAGCAATAAGTAACCAAAACAATCAATTGTACAGAATGTTCTAATTAAAGTGGAGGATAGTCATTGTTGCAAAGAATGGGACTATTAATGGGGAAAAAATTAGTGTATACTATCAATTCTGGCATAAGGATAATTTACTACTCTCAAAAATATGTGCAAATATTTTATAGTATATTCTATAAAGCATTGGCTATATTTATTATTAATTGAGAAACAATCAATAATAATTATAAATATGTGTATTAATCTGTTTTCACAATGCTGATAAAGACATAACTGAGCCTGGGCAATTTACAAAAGAGGTTTATAATGGACTTATAGTTCCATGTGGCTGGGGAAGCCTCACAATCATGGTGGAAAATGAAAGGCACATCTCACATGGCAGCAGACAAGAGAAGAGACGTTGTGCAGGGAAACTTCCCTTTTTAAAACCAACAGATCTTATGATGCTCATTCACTATCATGAGAACAGTATGGGAGAGACCTACTCTATAATTCAATCACATCCCATGACATGTGGGAATTGTGGGAGTTACAATACAAGATTTGGGTGGGGGCACAGCCAAACCATATCATCCCACACCTGCCCCTCCCAACCCACATGTCCTCACATTTCAAAACCAATCATGTCTTCCCAACAGTCCCCCAAAGAATTAATTCATGTGAGCATTAACTCAAAAGTCCACAGTCCAATGTCTCATCTCAGACAAGGCAAGTTCCTTCCACCTATGAGCCTGTAAAATAAAGAGCAAGTTAGTTACTTCCTAGATACAATGGGGGTATAGGCATTGGGTAAATACAGCTGTTCCAAATGGAAGAAATGGGGCAAAACCAAGGGGCTACAGGCCCCATGCAAGTCTGAAATCCAGCAAGGCAGTTAAATCTTAAAGCTTCAAAATTATCTCCTTTGACTGCATGTCTTGCATCTTGGTCACACTAAGTCAAGAGGTACATTCTCATGGTCTTGGGCAGCTCCACCCCTGTGGCTCTGCAGGGTACAGCTTCCCTGCTGGTTGCTTTCATAGGCTGGTATTGAGTGTCTGTGGCTTTCCCAGGCACAAAGTGCAAGCTGTTGTTGAATCTAACATTCTGGGGTCTGGAAGACAGTGGCCCTCTTCTCACAGCTCCACTAGGCAGTGCCCCAGCAGGGAGTCTGTGTGAGGGCTCTGACCCCACGAGACCCCACATTTTCCTTATGCACTGCCCTAGAAGAAGTTCTCCGTGAATGCCCTGCCCCTGTGACAAACTTCTCCCTTGGCAACCAGGCATTTCCATACATCTTCTGAAAACTAGCTGGAATTTCCCAAACTCCAATTATTCTGTGCACTCACAGGCTCAAAACCACATGGAAACTATAAAGACTTGGGGCTTGCACCCTCTGAAGCCACAGCCTGAACTTTATGTTGGCCCCTTTCAGCCATGGCTGGAGTGGCTGGGATGCAGGGCACCAAGTCCCTAGCCTGCACACAGCATGGGGAACCTGTGCCTGGCCCACAAAACAACTTTTTCCTCCTAGGCCTCCAGGCCTGTGATGGGAAGGGCTTTTGTGAAGACCTGTGACATACCCTGGAGACATTTTCCCCATTATCTTGAGGATTTACATTTGGATCCTTGTTATTTATGCAAATTTCTGCAGCCAGCTTGAATTTCACCTCAGAAAATGGGATTTTTCTTTTCTATCACATTGTCAGGCTACAAATTTTCCAAATATTTATGCTCTGCTTTCCTTATAAAACAGAATGCCTTTAACAGCACCCAAGTCACAACTTGCATGCTTTGATGGTTAGAAATTTCTTCTGCCAGATACCCTAATCCATCTCTCTCAAGTTCAAAGTTCCATAAATCTCTAGGGTTGGGGCAAAACGCCACCAGGCTCTTTGCTAAAACATAACAAGAGTCACATTTGCTCCAGTTCCTAACAACTTTCTCATCTCCATCTGAGACCACCTCAGCCTGGACCTTATTGTCCATATCACTACCAGGCTTTTGGTCAAATCCATTCAGCAAGTCTCTAGGAAGTTCCAAACTTTCCCACATTTTCCTGTCTTTTTCTGAGCCCTCCAAATTGTTCAAACCTCTACCTGTTACCCAAAGTCATTTCCACAGTTTTGGGTATCTTTCCAGCTCACCCCACTTCTGGTACTAATTTACTGTATTAGTGCATTTTCATACCACTGATAAAGACATAACTGAGACTGGGGAATTTACAAAGGCTTTTATAATGGACTTACAGTTCCACGTGACTGGGGAAGCCTCACAATCATGGTGGAAGTTGAAAGGCTGATCTCCCATGGTGGCAGACAAGAGAAGAGAGGTTGTGCAGGTAAACTCCCCTTTATAAAACCATGGGATCTTATGAGACTCATTCACTATCATGAGAACAGCACAGGAAAGACCCACCCCACAATTCAATCACCTCCCATGACACGTGGGAATTGTGGAAGTTACAATTCAAGATGAGACACAGCCAAACCATATCAATCTGTATTATATAACTTTTTAAATATCAATTATAAAAAATTTAGAATATTTTAAGCCAAGAATATAAGAAAAGAATATAAAAATTGGCCTTATTCCTATAAATTCTTTGAAAGTTAAATAAAATATAAATAAAATAACACTGTAAACTATTTGCATTGCTAAGATAAATTTTTATAGGATGGCAGAATAATAAACATTATCTTTGGGAGAATACAGTAGGTTAATTTCAACAAATTCCCATATTTTCTATAGTAAAACTCTTTAGAAACAAATTTTTTTATCATCAAAAAACAATTTACTACTTGAATGGGGGAAAAGCATAAGGTCAGCTATTACTTAGTTACATTGTCCTTTAATTTTGAGAATAATAACAGGTATTATTAGAAACCACTTTCTTTATCCTTGTTGAGAAGAGAACACACATTTTCTTTGACATCTCTGTCTTCAGTGATGATTTTTCTCTGTCTGGCTCTGAAAGAGTGATACTTAAATTCTTCCATTTTTCTCAAACATGGCTTTCTAGCAACTTCATACTGCCGAAATACTTTTATTCTTCTATGATTTTATTTACACTAAAGGTCACATATTTCCATGTCTTTTCATTGGATGTCACATCTCAACACTAGATTCAATGAATACAGATATTTCCATTAATGCTGTAGGGTATCCCTTGCCCTTAATCCATGTTATGTGTCTAGTGAACTAATGTTAATTTGTCCACAATTTGTAATTCGGTTACTCATTTGGCTTTCCTGATATAAATAAGATGATTTTTGCTTTGGAAGCTGTTACCATTGCCAAATTTACAAAGTATGTAATACAAATAACTAACGTTATTTTAAGAAAACCCTTTAAATATCCGTTAATCAGTTTGAAGACAGTGCATATTCTTTGCCATGATAACAACATTGCTCAAAATATTTTAGATCTACTATTTTAGAAATGTTTTGTTACATAAACCAACGACTTTAAGAATGTTTTTATTAATATAGACACCAACTGGACAATAAATGTAATGGCTAAACATGAACGGTGATTATAGCAACAAGGCAACTTTTATTGGTGATGCTGAAGACAATTCAAAAGAACAGAAGTTAATTTATAATTTACAGAAAAATTGTTAACTTTGTATTGAATATGTTTTATTAAGGAAGAAAACTATACATAGGAGAATGATACAAAATTATCCTTTTAAGTGTACACAATGGTAGCAAAATTTTTCATGTCCAAACTTACGCTTGCTGAAACCTAACCAGAATAAAATAAATACTTATATTCTCCAAAAGGATGAAAATGAATTACTGTCTTTTTTTCTAATCAGTTTCCTTCAATTAAAAGTTTTTATTTTCTTATAATTGATATCAGATGAACACAAAGCACATAGATACCTGATGTTTCTGAGGATTATCAAACGCCAAATGTGATCTAAAACTGCATTCTAAATAGCAGGATTAACTTAAGTGCCAGACTCAGATCTCTCATTTCAAAATCCCTTTGGCTGCATCTAAAGGTAGTGGCTGTCATGTGAAACTGATGTTTGAAAAATACATTGAAATTCTGCCTGGAGATATTCTCTTCAAAAACTCTTATATCCTTATTTCACAAGAAATGTCCTATTGCCTCATGAATATTTTTGAAATGAGTAACATGCTTTGCTTAACTATCTGTTTATTTGGAGATATGGGAAGTTTAACTTCCAAAACGAATATCTGGGGATGTTTGAATGTAATTAAACCTGTTTTTAGTTAGGTTCTAAGTACATATAAAAAATAATTAAGTAGATGGTCTTAAAACAGTTTTAGATGTGAACATCCGATACTTGTGAAAAATTTTGCTATTACAAAGTTTAATACCGTATATATGACTTTCATATCTCTTTCAATATTAAAGCAGAAATATAGTCCTGTAAACATAATTCCACATAATTTAAGAATTTACAAACCAAATTTATTATAACAACAAGAAAGGTAGATGGGATATTGTTAGCAAAACTAAAGAATATGCCCCTAATTACTTGAAATTATACTGGGTATATAAGTGCTTGGTAAAATTTTGTGTCATGGATCAATTTATCAAATTCAATAAACTATCAATCACAATTCAAACATTTAAGAATGGAATTGTTTTCTAACCGCATTTAACCAGTGAAAAAATTATTGTGAGATTAGGAAGAAGTGTTAGGATCGACAGGTAAATAATAACATTTTAACATGAAATACGATGATGGAACATATTTTTCAAATCCTTTATTTTTAACCACTCAGTTAATATATACTTCTGATGGCAGCGGTAGCCGGTCTGGAGTAGCCACTGCAAGGATGCTGGCTGCAGCAGGTAAGGCGCCGCCAGGGCTGCAGGCTTTGCAGAGCCCGCGGGAGCCAGGATTGGGCAGGAGCGGGGATTGGGAGAGAGCCAGGATTGGGAGAGAGCCCTGCCCGCTACCAAGTTAGCGGGGCAGGAGCCCATGCTCCTGGGCACAGCTACTGCTGCCCAGACCACAGCATCCCTTTGTTCTCCGGGGCCCAGGAAGCCCCTGGCCCCACAGGCTTGAAATTGCCTGCTCCCACTCCCTGGCCCCTGCCTGCTCCCACCCCTGCTCCAGGACGGAGCAAAGTTGTGGCAGAGCCAGGGCACTGTTGCAACCCGGCTGGGTTTACATGCACTTCGGGTGGCTCTGACATGCCAGCCCCTGCCATCTTAGCCCTCTCTGGCCTTTAGGTGCCAACGAGCATGCGCGGGGACCAGGGGTGCTGAAGGAGGCTCGGCCCAGGCCTGCAAGCAACTCTCAGCATGTCCAGCTTGGGTGCTGTGGATGGCATGTTAAAGGCAGACAGGTTCTTAGGTGGGAAGGCGCAGGTCCACAGTGAAACCTCACTTTCAGGCCAGTGAAGGCCTGAGGCCTGGGGGCTATCTGCCGGTTGCCTGCGAAGTTCACAGCTTAGAGTGAGAACTTGATTGATGACTGTTCGGCCTATTGGATGGTGCTTTTTCCAGGCCTGCCTGTGGCCACCCATGGACCAATCAGCATGCACTTACTCCATTCAGAGCACATAAAATCCCTAGACTGAGCCAGACTCACTCACTGGTTGGGATGACCTGACTGCTGAAAGGAGCTATTCACTGCGGGTCTCCGCTGAGTTGTCCTTTTACTCAATAAAGCTCCTCTCTGCCTTGCTCATGCTCCAGTTGTCTGCCTACCTCATTCTTCCTGTATGCGGGACCAAAAATTGAGACACACCAAATGGCAGGACTAAAAGAGCTGTAACAAAAATAGGGCTGAAACTCACTCCCTCTCCTCCTGCAATCCATGTTACGGGTGATGAGAAGGAGAGAAGAGCTGTGGCCTTTTGGGCAGCCCAGACCTAGGACCCTTCTGAGGCAGGGCTGTGACACCCTGTTTTGGGCTCTGAGGTTCCTGGTGCCCCCAAGCTTCCAAGTATCATTGCATTCCCCTTATCCAGATGCAGGTGCCCACAGCGGAAGCCACTTGCACTATATCTGATCCAGCCACAGCCTTGCATGGTGCAGGCACCTGTGCTGGCACCTAGAGCTGCCTGCCCCGCAGCAACAGCTGGTGTGCCTGGCTGTTACACAGTGGCCAGACTCCACGCTCACTTGCATATACACCCCTCACTGCTCCACACGTTGCTCACCCTTGGCAGGCTTGGGATCCAGGCAGCTGCATGAGCCGAGTGCAGCCTGCCAGGCAGAGTGGGCAGAACGAACCCAGGAGGTCCAAGCAAAACTCGGGAAAAGGCGCCACTGACCCCAGAGGTTTCCAGCTGGAGAAAAGACACCCTAAGGCTCCTGTAACACATTCATTCATATATTAAGTAGGTCATTCAATCAGTGAAATGTTGTCAATCATTAGATAAGCATACATTGAATACAAACATACACACATACACATATATATAAATATATATATAATATGTAATCACTTTTGTAACTGTTTAGTAAAATAAAATTCCTGTATTTGATAAACTGATAGACCAATATAATTATTTTATTTTTGTTTTAATTTGGAAATAGTTGTAAAGTAGAACCTGCTAGTTACACTCAACATACAATATGAGAAAAATTTTTAACAAAGACTATGTATAAAGAAAATAATCACCACAAAAGAAATAAAAATGAAACATTATTTGTTCAAAGAATACAAATTTGTCACACCCCTGCCCCTTAAAATTAAGAAGTACATACCAGGAATAAGAGACAACATTAACAAAGACATAGATAAATTAAAAGGATTATCTACTCAGTGATCTGAAAGTAACCTGATATGATAAGGAATAAGAACATTCTTGACGAAGTGTCAGCAGGTAATTGCATTTATTAAGAGCCCATTATGACTTAGACTATTTAGTCTTTCACATGAATAACTTAGTTTAATGCTCATAAAACTTTATTTGGTGATAGATAAGAAAATCTTTCAAAAAGTAGAAGAAAAAAAGTCAGAGCTATTGGGTCACCAGAGAGTAATCATTTTCTCATGATAAATTTTAATTATTGGTACCTCTGGAAAAAAACTCTCCTTTCTACAACTCAATGCCTCCTGCAAAGAGATAGGCAGGCAAATTTGAGGCCTAAGCACAAATCCCTTTCTTGCTAGGGTAAGGAATGAGCTTGAGTGTAATGAACAAGCTACATTTTAAAAGAGAAGTCCAGAAGACAAGTTGGCAATTGGAGAGTAACTGTCCTAAATTCAAAGGAGGAAAAAAGAGGCATTCAGAGTGAGAAATGAGATGAGAGTTAGTAAACCTTGAATAATGGCAAAGACAGTGATGTTGGCAGGAAAGCTAGAGTTCTAGATAATTAGATGGAAAAAGAAAAGGACTTTCCTACTTGTACGTAAAGATGTAAGATAATAAAACTGGATTTTTAGATTAGCCAAAAAATACTATAAGGAAAACAAAGGCACATCTAGTGAGATGTGATTTATTTTAAGTCTGGTAATTTATTTTAAGTCTGGTAATTTCACATAAGTTGAATGATTCAGGAGACATTTGGATGTAAACCATGGATTTTTAAAGAGTGATCTAGGCTATATGTGTGTGTATATATACACACACATATACACACACAAACATATATATGTATATATATGTATTTATGCCTTCACTTATATATTATTGTTGGGTCTAGATCAATTTGACCATATATAGAGTGAGAAGAAAAATATGCCAGAGAGGGAGGAGCTGGGAAACTGTTTAAGAACTATGGAGAGAAGCCAAAATTGGTGTAAAAAGAGGAGAATAAGAACAAAATAATGTTTTTTTTTTTTCCAAAAAGGAAGGATAGTCAATATTAGCTGGTATTGAAAAGTGATTAAATAAGATTATACTCAAAAGCTTGCAGTCAGCTTAACAGTTAAATCAATAGTGGTCTCATAACAGTTTAAATAGAATAACTGAAGCAGAATATACGTAGTGAGGTAAGAGAACAATTGGAATTATATAGCAAAGAAAAATCCAATTACTTTTTCAAATGTATGTTTAGAAAATCAAGGAAGGAGGTGATGATGATGGGGTGTGTGTGTGTGTGTGTGTGTGTGTGTGACTGTTTTGTTTCTCCTTCTTTGCAATACATAATGGAGTTGAAGTCCCCTGCTGTGTCAAAATAGGTGTGATCATGTGAAATTTTTTGGCCAGTGCATGATATGCTATATTTGCTTTACTTTAGAACCAGTGGCCTGCAATGCTACATTGAAAGCCCCTTTCTCAGTATAGATGGTAGAGCAGAGTCTACAAGAAAACATTCAGTGGTACTATAGCATGAGCAAGAAGTGAATTTTTATTGTTTAAACCAGTAATATTCAGATGTTGTTTGCTAGTGCACAATAAGCCTAGTCCTACCTGACTGATACAGAAATAGATATAAATAGATATAAAAATGTGTGTATGTATGGTTTATGTTATAAACTGCACTGTAAGTCTAAAGGAAAAAAATGGCCTTTATATAAGTGTTCTTTCTAGTATAAAAAGGTATTTTCAAAGGAGCAATTTATTTTATAAATAACATGGTGTTCTTGTTCCCTCAATTTTAAAAAGAAAAGTATAGGACAATCAATTATTTAAATACGTGCAAAAAGAATAAGCAGAATTTTAGTAAAATATATCCGGTGATATAGAAGAGAAGATGAAGTATCAATATAACGTGAAGTGAGGTTTATGTTAGTTTCCAAAATCAGATTAAAATTTCAAAATAAATTAAGGTAAAGTCATATCATCGTCTCAATAGATACATAAAATTCATAACATTTCTTAGCGAACTCAATACAAACTTATAATTTTAGCAAACATCCTACAACGGAATCATCAAAACTTTCCCTCTTATTGTAAATAAGACAGGGTTGTTTGCTTTAAGAACTCTTTGAGCACATTACTATGAGTCTTGTAAAGAGGAACAAGACAGAATAAAATAATAAGCATAATGCTTTAGAAGGACTAACAACATTTTTCACAAATGAGATGAGAGAAAACAAAAAATCTGAAAAGAATACATTAAATGCATTAAATTAAGTAAATGAAGAATTATACAATGTGAATAGAGTAAAACAGTGGATGCAGTTGAGTTATTATTTCTCCCTAAATTAATCTATACATTCCAAACAATTTAAATCAAAATTTATGGAAATTGATAAAATAATTCCAAAATTTATATGGACAAAGAAAGAGCCAGCATTCGTTAAGGCAATTTTAATAGAGAAGATTAAGCTGTAGGGTACTAAATATCAGAAACAATTTTAATACTATATTAATTAAGACATTGTGGTTTTGGTATGAGGATCAAGGAAACACAAGAATCCAAAAGCAGGACCATAACTACACAATCACTCGAATTATGACAAAGGCACCAATGGAATTGTGTGGAGGGAAGATGTATTTTTTAATACATAGTTGTGAATTAATTAGATATCCATATAAAAATAAATGATTCCTGTCTCACACCATAATGTACTAAATTCTTGATGGATTTTGGATATCAATGTGAAAGCTAAATTGAAGATTTTAGAGGAAAATTTAAGGGAACATATCTGATAACTTATCAATGATTTCTTAAGCAAGACACAAGAACCACTAATCAGAAATAAAATATTGAAACTTTGCAGTATATTATGATTAAAATATGTGTTTTTCAAAAGTTACGTTTAAGAGAGTGAAAAGTTGATGGAGTCACAGATACATGTACATATACAGGACAGCATAATTAAAAAACCAGAAGAAGACAGTAATAAACACTTCAAAACACTGTATTCTAGTGGCCACTTAACATCTAAAAATATGCTTAAACTCAATTGTAAGGGAAACATAAGTTTAAGCACAGAAGTACTATTGCTCTTTTACACAGAATGAAAAATAAAGACTGAAAATGTCAAGCGTTTACCCATATGTAGACCTACTAGAACTCTCATACACTGCCAGTGAAAGTGTAAATTGTATAATCACTTTGGAAAATTGTTTTTAGTAGATATTAATGCTAAATAAATACATTCTCTGTAACCCAGAAACTCCTATCCTTAGCAGATAACCTATAGAAGAGTGTTTAAATATTCGACAAAAGTTATGTGCAAGAATCCTTGTGGCAAGTCTAAAAAAATGGTAAAAAATTCAGAATATCCAAATACACATCAGCATTAAAAGGAATAAATTATGATACACATATGCAATAAACTATTATTCAGCAATGAGAATGAATAGTTTAATCTACATCCAGCAATATGAATATATCTCCCAAAGATAATATTGAGCAAAAGAAGTCAAATACAAATAAGTTCATGTTATAGGATTTTCTTTACATAAAATATAAAAACAGGTAGGACTGTTCAAAATATACTCAAAATCAGTAATGATATTATTGAAGGAATGTTAGGGGCTGAGCAACAGGGGGCAGGTGGGATGGATAGTGCTAGGTGTATTGTTTACTTATCTAGGAGCTGACTACAGTGGTATGTTCAGTTTACGTAAATTTACGAAACTGAAGATTGATTATATGTAATTTTCTGTATGTTTGTTAGATTTCAATGCAAAGTTGAAAAATGACAAAATAAAGAAATGTCATGGCAATTCACACATAAAGCTTTGAACCCAGCTATTTGAGTCATGTTCTTTCTGTGACTAACAGTCATAAAACTGTGAAGCTAACTAAAGAAAAGAAGAAACTAAGAGTAAAAAAGACTATATATATATATATATATGTATATATACATATATATACATATATACATATATATATACACATATATATATATATACACGCACACATGCAGAAGATGGCATCTATTGCCTTCAGATGAATTCACATCTGTATTTTGTCTGCAGACACTTGACAGAATCTTGTTTAAAAGAGAAAAGTTGTCACATATTCTATGGTGCTATGTATCTGAGATATGTACTGAATGTAAACTTGAATTAAGTTTTAGTCAGAGGTTTATAGTCATAACATATCCTCTATACAAGAGTAAATGTATATAAAAATGAAAAATTACAATAGTTTCTGGAAGATGACACACACAATAAAAATACTTTTACTTTACTCAGTCTATTAAAAAAGCTACTTCACAATGACAAATATATTTTTGTTATAAAATGTTAGTATGATAGTATCTCAGGTTCCAGTCATATTTATTCACTGAAGACTGTATTATATTATCAAGTAATTAAAAGTTGATTTTGTTATCTAAAAATTGATGTAGATATTTAAATACAAGTAGAAAAATAACAATAAGAATTGTTTTTCATAAAATGCATGTTGCAGTAGCTAAATATGGCATGTATTCTTGATACACTCAGTTGAAGCTCCCTCTTCTTGGTCTGTTCAACAAATCATCGAAAAGTTTTTCCCCACAATATGCTGCTATAAGGTATTTATCTAAAGAAATTTGCTTACAGACTCAAATAGAGTAAGTATAGAAATGAGCATGATAAATCCATAAACACAAACTCTTTCCTGTACTTCTTCCTTTCTCTAAGTGATGGGAAGAGAGTCCCAGAGATGAGCTAATTTTAACATCCCGCAAGATTACTGACGGCATTTCTACTCTCCCGACCTCAAATTCCCCAAGCAAGAAGTGTCTTCCCCTTAATACTCATTCGTATTGTACATGAGGTTCATAATTTCCTTTATAAGAATTTTCTGAACTTTTTGTGAAACCCACGTCTTGTTTTCATAGGTATCTTGATTACTGCCAGCCTATTTTAACACATTATGTATATATATATTTGCTATTATTATGTTTTCCTTCAAAACTATATCAAATAGGAAAATAAAAGTTGGAAAAATTAATCAAGTAACTTAAATAATTAAATACTGTGCATTCTCTTGCCAGTATCTCTATCTCCTATATTATTATATTAGATTTTTACATAAAATTGTTCAGTGATTTATATTTCAAAAGAGGTCTATATTCTAAAGCTCTTGATTGTGCATATTTGAGAAAACATAAATTCTAAACTAAAAGTGTTTTAGACAATATTAATCTTGAAATAATTGTGTAAGACAGAAAGGCAGATACAGTGATCTACATTTCTTTTTAACCTTAAAGTTTGAAATAGCCCAGTTCCACTAACATGGATCTGCCACATAATATGCTCTTTTGTAAGGATGAATATTATCTTAAATATCAGTCCATGTAAATCAAGGAACAACTATTAGAGAATGCCTATGCAATTTTTTATGAGTTTGTGTGTACAAAAGTGAAATAGGGCCGGGCGTGGTGGCTCACACCTGTAATCCCAGCACTTCGGGAGGCTGAGGTGGGTGGATTACGAGGTCAGGAGATCGAGACCATTCTGGATAACACGGTGAAACCCCGTCACTACTAAAAATACAAAAAATTAGCCAGGCTTGGTGGCAGGCGCCTGTAGTCCCAGCTACTCAGGAGGCTGAGGCAGGAGAATGGCGTGAATCCGGGAGGCGGAGCTTGCAGTGAGCCGATATCACGCCACTGCACCCCAGCCTGGGAGACAGAGTGAGACTGTGTCTCAAAAAAATAAATAAATAAAATGTTTTTTTAAAAAAGTGAAATAGAAGGTATGGTTTTACTTTGAATTCATGATTTTAAACTGAATTTTGTTTTAGCAAAATATCAACATTAATAAGAGTTGGAGGATGTTGATGTTAACCTTCATGGATAACTTTCAGGAGTTCAAGACGTAAGTGGAGGAAGTAACTGCAGATGTGGTGGAAAAAGGAAGAGAACTAGAATTAGAAATGAAACCTGAAGATGTGATCGAATCGCTACAATGTCATCTAAAAACCTGAATGAAAAAGAAGTTGTTTCATATGAATTAGCCAAAGAAGTAGTTTCTTGACATGGAATCTACTCCTAGTGAAGATGCTCTGAAAATTGTTGAAATAAGAAAGGATTTATAGTATTACATAAACTTGGTTGATACAACAGCTGCAGGATTTGAGAGGATTGACTAATTTTGAAAGAAGTTCTAATGTGGTTAAAAAGCTATCAAATAGCATTGCATGCTATAGAGAAATCTACTGTGAAAGGAAGAGTCAATTGATGCATCAATGCAGAAACTTTATTGCTGTCTTATTTTAAGAAATTGCCCCAGCCCCCGGAATATTCAACAACCACCCTGTTCAGTTGGCAGCCATCAATATCAAGGAAAGCCTCTGTACCAGCAAAAAGATTATGACTTACCGAAGGCTCAGATGATGGTTACCATATTTTTTAGCAATAAAGAATTTTCAATTAAGGTACATATATATTAGTTTATTAGACATGATGCTATTGCACATGTAATAGACTATGGCAAAGTGTAAAGTAACATTTATATGCACTAGGAAATGAAAACATTTCTGCGACTCACTTCATTGCAATATTTGCTACATGGGGGTGGTCTGGAACTGAATCCACAATATCTCCAAGGTTTACCTGTGTATCTGGATACTTTGCAAATAAAATTCTTAAATCTTGTATATTATAGTATTCACTATACTTGATTCATACGTCTTAATATATGCGTTAGAAGAAGCTTACAAATTTCTACAATTTTTGTTATTTTGGCTCAGATTCAATAAATCTATTGAACAATTTGATAGTACTTGATATCTCCTAATGTGTGGTGTTAAAATATGAACATGTTATGCCAATTAAATTAATGAACTCTGTTAATACAGCTATCAGAGGTTTACATTTTTATGTCTTACAAATTTAAAAAATGTATATGTGTATATTTCATATTTTAGTTATTCTGCATTATATCAATCAAAATATTACATTTGTAGACAGTCAAAATGCAACTGAATTTTGTGTAGTAATTTAATATCTAGTGATTTTGTCATACTCTTATTAATTCTAATACTTAATATATGGATACTTATGGACTTCATAAAGACACAATCACATCTTTTGAGAACGAAGTTTTTAATATACATATATTCCTTTTTTTTAACCATATTGAACTTGCCAATACTTAATCACAACTTCATATAGAAGTGATATGGAGTGTCTTTCTTTTCTTTTTTTTAATTTATTTATTTTTTTATTATACTTTAAGTTCTAGGGTACATGTGCACAACGTGCAGGTTTGTTACATATGTATACATATGCCATATTGGTGTGCTGCACCCATTAACTGTTATACGCTGTTCTGTTTATATGCTAGATTACATTTATTGATTTGCATATGTTGAACCAGCCTTGCATCCTAGGGATGAAACCAACTTTATTGTGGTGGATAAGCTTTTTGATGTGCTGCTGGATTTGGTTTGCCAGTATTTTACTGAGGATTTTTGCATCTATGTTCATCAGGGATATTGGTCTAAAATTCTCTTTTTTTGTTATGTCTCTGCCAGTCTTTCGTATCAGGATGATGCTGGCCTCATAAAATGAATTTGGAAGGATTCCCTCTTTTTCTATTGATTGGAATAGTTTCAGAAGGAATGGTACCAGCTCCTCTTTGTACATCTGGTAGAATTCGTCTGTAAATTAGTCTGGTCCTGGACTTTTTTGGTTGGTAGGCTATTAATTATTGCCTCAATTTCAGAGCCTGTTATTGGTCTATTAAGGGATTCAACTTCTTCGTTCTTTAGTCTTGGGAGGGTGTAGTGTCCAGGAATTTATCCATTTCTTCTAGATTTTCTAGTTTATTTGCATAGAGTTGTTTATAGTATTCTCTGATGGTACTTTTTATTTCTGTGGGATTGGTGGTGATATCCCCTTTATCATTTTTTATTGCATCTATTTGATTCTTCTTTCTTTTCTTCTTTATTAGTCTTGCTAGCAGTCTATCAATTTTGTTGATCTTTTCAAAAAACCAGCTCTTGGACTCATTGATTTTTTTGAAGGGTTTTTTGTGTCTCTATCTCCCTCAGTTCTGCTCTGTTCTTAGTTATTTCTTGCCTTCTGCTAGCTTTTGAATGTGTTTGCTCTTGCTTCTCTAGTTCTCTTAATTGTGATGTTAGGGTGTCAATTTTAGATCTTTCCTGATTTCTCTTGTGGGCATTTAGTGCTATAAATTTCCCTCTACACACTGCTTTAAATGTGTCCCAGAGATTCTGGTATGTTTGTGTCTTTGTTCTCATTGGTTTCAAAGAACATCTTTATTTCTGCTTTCATTTCCTTATGTACCCAGTAGTCATTCAGGAGTAGGTTGTTCAGTTTCCATGTAGCTGAGTGGTTTTGAGTGAGTTTCTTAATCCTGAGTTCTTGTTTGATTGCACTGTGGTCTGAGAGGCAGTTTGTTTTAATTTCTGTTCTTTTACATTTGCTGAGGAGTTCTTTACTTCCAAGTATGTGGTCAATTTTGGAATAAGTGCGATGTGGTGCTGAGAAGAATGTATATTCTGTTGATTTGGGGTGGAGAGTTCTGTAGATGTCTATTAGGTCCGCTTGGTACAGAGCTGAGTTCAATTCCTGGATATCCTTGTTAACTTTATATCTGATTGATCTGTCTAATGTTGACAGTGGGGTGTTAAAATTGCCCATTATTATTGTCTGGGAGTCTAAGTCTCTTTGTAGGTCTCTGAGGACTTGCTTTATGAATCTGGGTGCTCCTGTATTGGGTGCATATATATTTAGGATAGTTAGCTCTTCTTGTTGAATTGATCCCTTTACCATTATGTAATGGCCTTCTTTGTCTCTTTTGATCTTTGTTGGTCTAAAGGCTGTTTTATCAGAGACTAGGATTGCAACCCCTGCCTTTTTTTGTGTTTTCCATTTGTTTGGTAGATCTTCCTCCATCCCTTTATTTTGAGCCTATGTGTGTCTCTGCACGTGAGATAGGTCTCCTGAATACTGCATACTAATGGGTCTTGATTCTTTATCCAATTTGCCAGTCTGTGTCTTTTAATTGGAGCATTTAGCCCATTTACATTTAAGGTAATATTGTTATGTTTGAATTTGATCCTGTCATTATGATATTAGCTGGTTATTTTGCCGTTAGTTGATGCAGTTTCTTCCTAGCATCGATGGTCTTTACAATTTGGCATGTTTTTGCAGTGGCTGGTACAGGTTGTTCCTTTCCATGTTTAGTGCTTCCTTTTGGAGCTCTTGTAAGGCAGGCCTGGTGGTGACAAAATCTCTCAGCATTTGCTTGTCTGTAAAGTATTTTATTTCTCCTTCACTTATGAAGCTTAGTTTGGGGGGATATGAAATTCTGGGTTGAAAATTATTTTCTTTAAGAAGTTGAATATTGGCCCCCACTCTCTTTTGGCTTGTAGAGTTTCTGCTGAGAGATCTGCTGTTAGTCTGATGGGCTTCCTTTTGTGGGTAACCCGACCTTTCTCTCTGGCTGCTCTTAACATTTTTTCCTTCATTTCAAATTTGGTGAATCTGACAATTACGTGTCTTGGAGTTGCTCTTCTCGAGGAATATCTTTGTGGCTTTCTCTGTATTTCCTGAATTTGAATGTTGGCCTGTCTTGCCAGGTTGGGGAGGTTCTCCTGGATAATATCCTGAAGAGTGTTTTCCAACTTGGTTCTATTCTCCCCGTCACTTTCAGGTATACCAATCAGACGTAGATTTGGTCTTTTCACATAGTCCCATATTTCTTGGAGGCTTTGTTCATTTCTTTTTACTCTTTTTTCTCTAAACTTCTCTTCTCGCTTCATTTCATTCATTTGATCTTCAATCACTGATACCCTTTCTTCCACTTGATCAAATTGGCTACTGAAGCTTGTGTATGCATCATGTAGTTCTCATGCCATGGTTTTCAGCTCCATCAGGTCATTTAAGGTCTTCTCTATGCTGTTTATTCCAGTTAACCATTCGTCTAATCTTTTTTCAAGGTTTTTAGTTTCTTTGCGATGAGCTCGAACATCCTCCTTTAGCTCAGAGAAGTTTGTTATTACTGATCGTCTGAAGCCTTCTTCTCTCAACTTGTCAAAGTCATTCTCCAACCAGCTTTGTTCCATTGCTGGTGAGAAGCTGCATCCGTTTGGAGGAGAAGAGGTGCTCTGATTTTTAGAATTTTCAGCTTTCTGCTCTGGTTTATCCCCATCTTTGTGGTTTTATCTATCTTTGGTTTTTAATGATGGTGACGTACAGATGGGGTTTTGGTGTGGATGTCCTTTCTGTTTGTTAGTTTTCCTTCTAACAGTCAGGACCTTCAGCTGCAGGTCTGTTGGAGTTTGCTGGAGGCCCACTCCAGACCCTATTTGCCTGAGTATCACCAGCGGAGGCTGCAGAACAGCAAATATTGCAGAACGGCAAATGTTTCTGTCTGATCCTTCCTCTGGAAGCTTCATCTCAGAGAGGCATCTGGCCGTATGAAGTGTCAGTCAGCCCCTACTGGGAGGTGCCTCCCAGTTAGGCTACTCCGGGGTCAGGGACCCACTTGAGGAGGCAGTCTGTCCGTTCTCAGATCTCAAACTCCATGCTGGGAGAACCATTACTCTCTTCAAAGCTGTCAGACAGGGATGTTTAAGTCTGCAGAAGTTTCTGCTGCCTTTTATTCAGCTATGCCTTGCCCCCTGAGGTGGAGTCTACAGAGGCAGGCTCCTTGAGCTGTAATGGGTTCCACCCAGTTTAAGCTTCCCGGCCACTTTGTTTACCTACTCAAGCCTCAGCAATGGCAGACACCTCTCCCCTGGCCTTGCTGCTGCCTTGCAGTTTGATCTCAGACTGCTGTGCTAGCAGTGAGTGAGGCTCCGTGGGCGTGGGACCCTCGGAGCCAGGTGTGGGATATAATCTCCTGGTGTGCCATTTGCTAAGACCATTGTAAAAGTGCAGTATTAGGGTGGGAGTGTCCCAATTTTCCAGGTACAGTCTGTTATTGCTTCCCTTGGCTAGGAAAGGGAATTCCCCGACCCCTTGCACTTCCCAGGTGAGGCGATGCCCTGCCCTGCTTTGGCTCATGCTCCATGGGCTGCACCCACTGTCCGACAAGCCCCAGTGAGATGAACCTTGTACCTCAGTTGGAAATGCAGAAATCACCAGTCTTCTGTGTCACTCATGCTTGGAGCTATAGACTGGAGCTGTTCCTATTCAGCCATCTTGGTACCTCCTATTGAGTGTCTTTATTTTCTATTTCAAAGAAAATTCTACTATTTAGACGTATCTGCTTTAGGCTTTGTAGATAAACTATACTAAGTTAAGTAAGTGTCTACACCTGACTAAAATATTTAAAATTATGGTGTGAATTTAGTATTTTTGCAAGTACTTATTTTTCTTCAGAAAATATGACTTTAAAAATTTTCTAAATATATCTTTTTGTCCAGATTAAAATGCATTCCTAAAAAACATGGCTCTTTTATATATGCTACAATTTTAGTTTTTGTATTCTGTTTGACATATAGTGAGACTGACCTATAATGACCCTGTTTTACTGTCTCTTCCATGTTTTGATTCAAGATTATATAACAAGAGTTGGGAAAAGTCCATGACTTTTATATTCTCTATTCTATTTAGTAACAAAATAATTTCTAAATTACAAATGTTCTTCTATTGTCAAAAATAGATTTTGTAATTTTGAAATTATTTTTTATTCACTTTTGTCATATCTAACTAGTGAAATCACTTGGACCTGGAATTTGCATAAGAGTGACAGTGGGAGAGGTATTTCAAAATTATTACATAGTCAATTTATTATTGATAAGTACTTTTTAAGATCTGTTATTTCTTCTTTAGGCAATTCTGGTTCGTTTCATTTTTCTAGATTTATTTCCTTTGTTATGTAAGTTTCCAAATTTCTTAAATATATCATTAGATATTTATCATATCATCTTATTTTTGTTACCTTCAACATCTGTAGTGATGTCCATTTTTTATCAATCATGTTTGTTATATGTGTCTTCTCCATGTCTAAAAAATCTTGCCAGATAGAATTGTCTTTTAGTATGCCTTGAGTTAGTCACTGATATTTTCTTTAACATTATTTATATTTCTCAGATATCTATCCATCTATCCAGTAAATTTTTTACAACAGAGTTTTTATCATTTAGTTTTTTTGTTTTTGTTTTTGTTTTGAGATGGAGTCTCGCTCTGTCACCCAGGCTGGAGTGCAGTGGCATGATCTCGGCTCACTGCAACCTCCATCTCCCGGGTTCAAGTGATTCTCCTGCCTAGGCCTCTAGAGTAGCTGGGTTTACAGGTGCATGCCACCACACTCAGCTAATTTTTGTATTTTTAGTGGAAACAGGGTTTCAACATGTTGGCCAGGCTGGTCTCGAACTCCTGACCTCTGGTCATCCACTTGCCTTGGCCTCCCAAAGTCCTGGGATTACAGGCTATTGTTTAGCTTTTATTTCCCTAATCATCATAATTATGTTTTCTCTTAAAAAGTTGATCTTTATACTATATCTGAAAGGGTTTTGCAGGGATATACTTGAAGCAGTACTAGGACTTTCCTTGTTTGGTTCCTTTCACTCATGAATCACAGTCCTGGGCCGCCTGCTTACCAATATCTAAAACACTTTTTAAAAATATATGTTTCAGTTTCCTTTTTATTTAAAAAGGAGATGGAATGTCTGCTATCGGTTACTCCAACATGGTTGGAAGTATGAGTTTGTACCAGCCTGTATGGTTGTTTTGAAAATTTGCTATGGTACCTTTTATGGTTTCTAATATATTTTATTTTTTATCACCAAAAGCATGTAATAATGTAAAATTAAGTAGGCTATTGTTTATGTATGATACATCTTAACTGCTTATATATAAGCATATATATATACATTTGAATAAGTATATAATACATATATATACATATGTATAAGTGTACAATTATACATATGTAATTGTTTATATATAAGCAGAACATATATGTAATGGCTTACATATAATATATATAATATGATATATATAATATATCATATATCATTAGATATTTATCATATCATCTTACTTTGTTATTTGTTATATGTAATTGCATATTTATATATATATATAGAAATAGACTATGGCTTTACAACAGTCAAACATGTAGCAAAGTACTGCTTTTCCAGGACAGATTTTTCACTCTAGAGGATATAAATAATATTATATGATAATCACACAATCCATACTCCATTAGAAAATAGTCCTACAAGAAATATTTATTTTGAGTCTCAGGTATTTCTTCTTTTACTTTTCTAATTCTTATGTAAGCCAAATCCTTATAATAGTTTTCAGAGTTTAATCCACTATTAACATGAACTGAACAATGTTATTTTTAGCATCACATGAGGAATTGCTTTTCGTGAAAATAATTCTAAAAGGTAAGCATTCCATAGACAAAAGGGTTTGAAAGGAGGACAACTTACTTGGTTTTATACAGAAGAAAAGACTGTATTGGACTTTTAGCCTGTCATCATTCAAATGAATCAAACCATCATAACCACACTTATAAATCTTGGAAGAAGTAACAAAAAGAAAATCTCCTATAGCACATGCCAGTAAGTTAGCATTTCCCTAGCAGCACATTTTTGTTACGCTCCACTACTTAAGATATTGTTAGGAAATGTTAAAAGAATTTGCCATGATAAATCCACATGGTTAGAACTATGGAATGTAGAAATAGTATATCCTAGAAACCATTTTTTTAAAAGTCCTTCTTAGGTTTATAAAACCATATGAGCAGGACATAAAGCAAGGCAGCAAGTCACCACTAAAATTTAAATTGCCTAATCCATCTCTAGGTATGAAATGAAGGTTGGCTTATTAACCTATATTACAAAATAAATGCAAAAAGTAAATAGCCTATAAATGATACATGTGTTTGATTCAATACGTTTATGATACATTTTTACCTATATAATAATATCTAAATCAATTATATCATACATAGATAAAATGCTAGAAAATTATTTATATTGTCTGTTATTTGTTGTCACAAAATATAGTAAGTTTATTGAATTTAAAATATTTTTGGGGGCTACTTTAAATAATAATTTTAAAAAGTTTCAAAACATGATTAATTGTATACTAAAAAAACCCAACCTCTTGATCACATCAGAATAAACTTCAAATTCTTGCTCTCATCTAAAAATACATATAATAATACAAAACAAAAACCTACATTAACTACCCCATAGCTTTTGCTCTAAGTCAATTCCTGCCATATTACCCCTAGCTCACTCTACTTCAGGAAAATATACGTCTTTGCTCTTCTTCATAATCACAATTTAGTTTTCATATCAATAAACTTTTTTTCCTTTTCTCTATGCCAAGAATGATCTCTCTGTAGATGGAGTCTCGCTCTGTCCCCCAGGCTGAAGTGCAGTGGCACATCTCAGCTCACTGCAACCTATGCCTCCTGGGTTCTAGCGATTCTCCTGCCTCAGCCTCCCAAGTAGCTGGGACTACAGGCGCCTGCTACCACGCCCGGCTAATTTTTGTATTTTTAGTAGAGACGGGGTTTCACCATGTTGGTCAGGCTGGTCTTGAACTCCTGACCTCAGGTGATCCACCCGCCTCGGCCTCCCAAAGTGTTGGGATTACAGGCATGAGCCACCACACCCAGCCCTCTGTGAAAGTGTTGGGATTACAGGCATGAGCCACCACACCCAGCCCTCTGTAGTGATTTCTTATAATTTTATGGTGCCTTGGCATTCACTTTGATTATAAGTTAAACTTGCTCATACCAGAAGCTGGGCTTTGTTATCCTTGATACAGTTCCAGTTTTTTGTCTTCTCTCATTTCTTCAATGTGTTTAATCCAGATATCTACCTTATACAACCGTCTCCTGGTGACCATTTTCCTATGAGACAGCTAAATACAGCCTGTTTGACTTCTACCGCTGAGCCCACATGCCCCATGGACTGCACAGTTATGCCACCATGACTACTTCTCAGTCACGTGATCCCATGGAACTCATGCCTGCTTGCTCTAAACCCACAAATTATAACTCCCCATGGGAAACCTACCTTGGTAACACCATGGACTCCAGTAAAGGCTTTGACCTACAAGTCCCTCACTGTCTTTCTTGCTCTCCACCTGCTGCTTGGGCACATGTCCCAGACAACTCCCCATTTCCCATTGGCCCTGCAAGGTGTGCTGTTCTCTTCTTTCTGGGATTTATAAGTAATACATTGCTTCTGCTATTTCATATATCTTAAGTTGCCTCCTCTGTGTCTCACCTAACAAACTAGAATCTAACTTCTTTCCTGTTCAGTGCTCTCGTAGAGAATGACTGTCTTGGCAGGAATAAACTGGGCACAGGTCAAACAAAAGCCACAAGGACATCTGCTGGTGTGAACAATTATCCTGTGTGAGGGACACCTGATCACAGGTCTGACACGGTGGCATTAGGCTGTCCACAAGGTTCAAGAAGTATCTTGTGAAAGGCAAACTGTAAACATCTAGGACCAAATTCCTGGAGTCTCATTAGGGTAGGGCTAGAGTTTATAGCCACTCCTTGGAGGGAGACCTCAAGACTAAATTGGAAAGAAAAAAAGGTCAGCAATTTCCTCTTGCTCCTCACTTCATTCAGTGCCTGCTCAAATGTCACTGCCTTCCTGGACTGTCCTTATAAAAAGAGTCTCCTCACTTATCACTCTTCATCTTCTTATCCTGTCATATTACTTCTGAAATTATATTATGTTGGTTTGTTTACTTATTAACAACACTCCCTACTAGAATATAAGCTCCACAAGAGCAAGGATTTTATCAGGTTTTTCTTGGCACATAGGAGGTATTTTTTTTTTAATGTTGGAAGTCAGTGAATGTATGAATGCAGAGGAAAGGGAATTCTCCTCTAAGTATTTAAGACTAATATTACCCAAAAGCTTACAGCTAACTATTTGGACAATCTATAAGATAATGGCTCATAAATAGTTTGCTTGGAAAGAAAACTGGTACAAACAAATAGTTGTAACAATTAAATTTGGGAATATAAAAATGTACTTGTAATCCAGTTTTATTATCTCCATATTTTAAGTGCGTATTTTTGAGAAAATTATGCTACTTAATATTCATATTTAGGTATTTTATTTGTTTTACAAAGAGCTGTTTTAATGTAATCTGAAGGGTGGAGGGAAATCAAAGCCTACTCGTCTTTTCAATTAATCAAAACTATATACTGGGTAGCAGAAGGTCTGATTGAGACCCTTTATATGAATAAAAAGAAAAAAATATACAGAACTATTTGCTCTTTAATGAGTTAATGAGATGTTCAATAACTGTGTTTTATAAAATTATATTCGTTTAGTGCAAAAGTAATTGTGGCTTTTGCTATTATATCATATGGTAAAAGAAAATTTTAGGAAGGTTATTTTGACACACATAGATAAGGCTTCCAGAAAAGTAATTAAGGAAAATATAATTTGAAATCTCCAAACAATGAAGCAATTCAAGCAAACATGATTGAAAGAATATATTTCTAATAATTAGGGTAATTTTCATATAATTTCATTCATAGTACACCTTTTTGAGTGATACTCGGGATGCATTGTTTGTTAAAAGAAGGCAGTAACAGAACAACATCTTTAGTTTGACTTTAACCTGGTTACATTACACATGGCACATTGTCCTGTCAACTTTATCAATTACTCTGTCAAAATTGATTTATTACATAAGTTTGCAACTGTGCCGCTGAAACTTGTGCAGACAACTTTTTATTCAATTCATCAAGCCCTTCTTCTAAAAGATCAATTACTTTATTATATTTCCTAGTCCATTACCTGAAATTAAAATAAGTCTAACAAGATAATTACTTAGGTTGTCCTCTCCAGTACTTTTAGATCTCAGTTTATTAACCTTCTTTAAGCCAAGAAAATACTTTCTAGAGACTTATTGACAACTCTTGTCAATATTGTCAACTCCCATCACAGACTATATTTCTTCCTTAAGCCTTTCATAATTATACACTATCTCCTTTTAATATATGATTAAGTATGTTTTGAGCTTGCATCACTATTTTATCTGAAACATAGCCAATTAAATACATTTCAACATGCCTAACTTAGAAGCATGAAAATATTGTTAAAGAGAGGTGGAATAGCCTTTATAAGAATAGTCTGGAAACAAGATAAAAATTAGTCCACTATGCTCTAATAATAGCAAATATGATAAGAAGTCTTTCTAATGGTAAGGATCTTTTATTTCTTCTTCATTTGCAAGATTTCTGTTTACATAAATATTGTGTTATCTTAAAGTACTAGCCTCTTGACCATACTACATACTAGTATCCAGTTTTCCTTTAATAATTTCTGACATATGAATTCTGAAACTTAGATGAAAATTTGATTAGTTTTGGGAAAAGATTATCACAAATAAGTTAATATTGTATCCCCTAAATATTTTAAAAGATAATCAAATGCAAAATGTGAGCATTTTCTTATAATAGTAATCAAAATATTAGAGTTCTTTTATAAGAAGGACCATGGAAATAATGAATAAATATTTGGTACTTTCATATTATTCTTAAAGAGCTAGCCAGTGCACATAAACAGCAAATGAAATAAGAAGTATACATATTGAAACAGAAAAACAAAGACAAAATTGTGATTGTATGCAAGTAAGATGTTATATGTGAAAGCCCACTGTAAAACAGTAAAATATTTTTGAAATATTAGAAATTGCTATCAATTGGCTAATAACATAATTAATACACACAAGAAGAGTTTTCTATGCCAAAAATTAAACGAGTAGAAAATAGACTAGAAAACAGAAAACAAAAACACTCAGTATGTTAAAATAAATAAAATGAGAGACGAAAGACTATGATAAAAACTGTTTTACTAGAGGACAAAAGAAACATTTATGATATTTTACTTTTGGAAAGAAAATCCATATTCATCAGAATATCATTACTGTTGTTAACACATTGTTTTATGCATTCTTTTGGGGTGTTCATTTTGACATTGTAAAGTATCTGTTTCTTTTGATCCAGCAATTCTACTTCTATGGATTTGCCCTACAAATATGGTTACAAAGATGAAAAAAATATTAATTCATAAAGTATCTCAAAAATCTTTGATTTTATTTTAAAATTTTGAAGACATTTTGAATATCTAGTAAGAGAACACAATATGTAAATTACAATATATACAAAGCATTCCCTCAGCTATTAAGCACTATAGTATGAGATTATTTTAAAATAATTATGCATATACAAATAGTATATGTAGAGAAATTCACATATAATACTATCTCCATTATGAAAAACTATATGAAAAAGTGTGCTATGTACATATATGCATTTAGTAAGATCTGGAGTAAAGCTAAAGAAAAGACATACATTATTATCTTTGAAAGTTGAATTTCACATAATGAATACATTCCTCCATGTCTTTTACTGTGTGATTTAAATTGCAGATGCTTATAAATTTATCATTTTTAAAAAATCAGTTTATTAGTTAAAAGGTGAAAAATAAAATAGACCTAAGAATATATGTTTGTTTATATGATTATTATATATCAGTTCAGAAATAATGATCAGAACAATATAATACAATATGGTTTTAACATTAGTGTGTAAAATAGATGATGCATTACTTTTAAAGTTATTACTAGGAATTTAAGAATATTTGTCAGATATTATATTTACATTTGAAGCTATTTACTGAGTTACTAACATGTTGTGCAATGCATACTTCTTTAAAAGATACACACAAATTATATTAATGTTGGGAAATCATTTCCAAATGTATAGAAAAAAAAACCTATTGTGCAAACACCACAGATATTTTTGATCACTGGCCTGAAAAAGTCAGACGTTAACTGTAGTTTTTAAGACTTTGCCAAAAGTCTTGATTTAAAAATGAGCATTTATAATATTAAAGTATGCGTAACTTTTTAAAAATATAAATACCTGCTTATGAAACTATGGAGTAAGATAATATAATATTTCCTATTATTTCTGCTCATGTTTTTTCCTCTAATTATAAACTAAATTTGTAGTTTTTTTAAAATCAAGGACTACTCACATCATAAAATAAACAGAATATTTCAATTATTATTCTACATTCTGTAATTTTAACTTAACCTCTGCCTTATAAAAATGCTTTGTCCCTTCTCCTTCACATAAAATAATTTTAGTCTCATAACTGAAAAAATATTCATTCATTTAAACATTCAGTGAACATTTACTTGCACCATCAGCATACCAAATACTAAACTAGGCACAATGGTCTGCAAGAGAAAAGAAGGACTGAAAATTCCGGACTCTGAGACAACCTATAGTCCAATAATTACAATAAAATATAGATATTTTAATACCACACTATACGATTATTATTGTTATATTTTACAAAGCTCATGATGGAGAGTTACAACAATATCAGTACACGGAAGGAAATATAAATACTCCTATAGAAATTATTTACAATGTTTATGCAAAGGTTGAAAGCGCCAACATTGCCTCTAATTCATAGAAAACATATGATGTAACTATTTTACAAATTCAGGTAAGGTCTTTGTAATTTCAGTGTTTTTGAAGATAACTAACTTTCAGTTGCAAATGGAGAGCTTAGTGAAAAAGTTTTGGTCTTTCAAGTTGTATCTCTCTAAACCTGTGACAAAGATTTGAAAACCGCCCTCTGGTGACGTCTTAGGACTTCCTCTGCACCATCTGTGCTTTTGAAATGTCAGCACTATAAGTATCTGATACTGAGAACAAGCTGCAAGGAGCTCACAGAAATAGGACTACTAACTTTTATCAGATTCAGCCCACTGCTTGCCATAGATGGCAACAGAAACAATCTGATGTCCTTTACTTGATGAAAATGGTCTTTACCAGAAACTGTTAGAAGTGTAGGTATTCTGAAGAAATTTATTGACACAATATTAAAAGATTTTAGAGAAGAAACTATATATGATAAGTGAAAACGTTATCATGACATTTTTGGCTGAAATACTAAAAGGAATTCAATACATTTGAATATATTTAATGTTCATTAAACTTTGAAATATTTGTCTTGACCAAAGACAAGACTGCTATTTACCTGTACTTGAATCAAATAATATTGATAAATGTTTAATCAACAAAATATTAATTATATTTTGTGTATTACTGATTTAAAAAGGAATAAAAAGTAAGTAAAAAGAAAATATTCAATCATATTTTGGCGGAATACTAATTTTATCTGCAATCAAAATTTGGAAAACACTTGAGTTAACCACATTGTAGGAGGTTACAAAATAATATTCATTTGTGTAAACATCTACAAGTAGATTTTTAAAAACTATCCTATAAATATCTCAAAATAAAAATATGTAAGCTAAAGTGTGAAGATCAGTGTGGTTATATTTTATTACCAGCCATGTAGAACTAATTCTATCATCAATTTAAAATGCTACGGACTTTTAAAAATAATGTTTTTAGAATGAAAACCTTTTCCTACAGTACAGTGTACATTGCATAACAACAGGTTACATTCTGAGAAATGTGTTGTTAGACAATTTTGTCAGTGTGTAAATATCACAGAGTGTACTTATAAAAACCTGGTGGGTAGAGCCTACCATATACCTGTGATATGTGGTATAACCTATTGCTCGTAGGCTATAAACCTGTACAGTATGTCACTGTCCAGAAAACTGTAGGCAGTTATAACACAATGGTATTTGTGTATCTAAAGATAGAAAATGAATAGAAAAACTATAATATTATAATCTAATGGGATCAGCATCATATATGCAGTCTGTTATCAAGCAAAACATTGTTATGCAGTGCATAAAAATGTAGTTAATATTAGTAAGTATATCTATTAACTTAATTTAGGTAGTATAACTATTAACTAACTTAAATTAGTTAATCTCCATTAACCAAATTTTTACATCAAAATGTAGATATAGTGGAATATTATTCAGCCACAAAAAGGAAACCCTGTTATATGCTAGAACAGTGATCCCCAACCTTTTTGGCACCAGGGACCAGTTTTGTGGAAGACAATTTTTCCATGGGAGGGACTTGACGGGGATGGTTTGGGGATGAAACTGTTCCAACTCAGATTATCAGACATTAGATTCTCATAAGGAGCACGCAACCTAGATTCCTTGCGTGTGCAGTTCACAATAGGGTTCCTGCTCCTGTTAAGAATCTCACACTGCCCTTGATCTGGCAGGAGGTGGAGCTCACGCAGTAATGCTTGCCTGCCCACCGCTCACCTCCTGCTGTGCTGCCTGGTTCCTAATAAGCCTCAGACCAGTACTGGTCCATGGCCCGGATATTGGAGACCCCTGTGTTACAACATAAATAAACCTTGAGGACATTATGCTAAGTGAAATAAATCAGTCAAAAACCACAATATACCATCATTCCACTGATATAAGGTATTTAGAGTAGTCAAACTCATTGAAGTAGAAAGTAAAATGGTGGCTACAGGGGCAGTGTTGCCGGAGCAATGAGGACTTAATGTTCTTTGGGTATAAAATTTCAGTTATGTAAAATGAAAACGTTATAGAGAACTGCTGTATAACATTGTGGTTATAGTTCATAATATTTTACTGTACACTTAAAATTTGTTAAGAGGGTAGATCTTATATGGTTTTACCACAATAAAAGAAAAAGAGAAGTTGTTAATTTTGCTTTTGTGTAGAGTTAACAAGTGTTTCCAAATATCAACCTAAAAAGTTGTATAACATACCGATGGATGCATAATCAAATTGTGAGTTGCAAAGTAGTCAGTTACAGTAGAAAGAGCAGCACTGCCTGCATAAATAATCAGTTTATGTTCTTTTTCTTTTTAAACCTGTCAACCATGACTAATATGTCTTTTTTTAGTGCATTACCCGATTTAAGGATTTGTTGGTATGTTCTTGAGCAGCTTTTGCTATTTGTATAGCTTTGAAATAGGAATTAAAGTTGTGTGGTGCATATGAATACACAACCAATGAGAATATCCTTCAGCTGCTTCTTCTACCCATGAGGACAATAATTATCACCTAAAAATCAGGAAACATTAATAAAAATATACATATTGTATGTGAATCTTTGCATTATAAAAATGGATCTTAAGCAACAATTATGGAAAATAAATATTGATCATGCATAAATGTAATATTTATATTAACAAATTCTAATTTTATTAAATGGTGTATCAATATAGCCACCAATCGTGTAGAAATGAAGTTTCAATAAACATTATTTCCTGATAGAAATGACATTGATTCATTGAGGTAACTGCAGAACAAGCATTTAGAAAATGTTCTTTTTTTTTTTTTTTTTTTTTTTTTTTTTTGAGGTGGAGTTTTGCTCTTGTTGCCCAGGCTGGAGTGCAATGGCATGATCTCGGCTCACTGCAACCGCTGCCTCCTGGGCTCAAGGATTCTTCTGCCTCAGCCTCCTGAGTAGCTGGGATTACAGGCACCCACCACCATGACTGGCTAATTTTGTATTTTTAGTGGAGATGGGGTTTCTTCAAGTTGGTCAGGCTGGTCTCAATCTCCCGATCTTAGGTGATCCATCCACCTCGGCCTCCCAAAGTGTTGGGATTACAGGCGTGAGCCACCGCGCCCGGCCATGTTCAATAATTTTTATCTTAACTAGTTTATGTTGTTTATAGTCAAAATCTGAACACTTTGAGTTTATATATTTCTAGTATTTTGGTGCAAAGTAGTGTTGATACCCTTGAACTTTTAGATTTAAGCATTAAATCATATTAAAATTAGTAATGTATAGAGTTACTAAAAGAGTTCAAGGGACCAACCCAAATGTCCAACAATGATAGACTGGATTAAGAAAATGTGGCACATATACACCATGGAATACTATGCAGCCATAAAAAATGATGAGTTCATGTCCTTTGTAGGGACATGGATGAAATTGGAAATCATCATTCTCAGTAAACTATCACAAGAACAAAAAACCAAACACCGCATATTCTCACTTATAGGTGGGAATTGAACAATGAGATCACATGGACACAGGAAGGGGAACATCACACTCTGGGGACTGTTGTGGGGTGGGGGGAGGGGGGACGGATAGCATTGGGAGATATACCTAATGCTAGATGACGAGTTAGTGGGTGCAGTGCACCAGCATGGCACATGTATACATATGTAACTAACCTGCACAATGTGCACATGTACCCTAAAACTTAAAGTATAATAATAAAAGAAAAAAAAAAGAGTTCAAGGGTTGATCATAATATAAAATTTGAAACAAATTTAGTTTTATTTTTAATATCTTCAATTCTTTTTATATTTTAGAGTTAGATATAGTTTATAAGAACTTGAAAATTGGTAATAACTTTTTTCCAAAAGAGCCATAATATGTTTTTATTTATTTTCCAATACCTAGGAACATATTATATATGTTCTTCAAGTATAATTCCCCAATCTATAAATACACAATTTCTGTAAATGTAGGTACCCTGTAGCTTACATAAAAGTACTTTAGTTCACTTCTCAGTTGCAGACTTACTTCTGCTTCCTCCTGATTGGGTAACATCAAGCTAATTAACATTTTTTGTATTATGTTCACTTCACTGGCTTCTTTGCAATTGCTTGTCACACAACAATGCAGAAAGAAACATATCAATTTTTTGTAATCATATATTATTTGATACCAATGAAAAGGACAGCATAAAATAGCATTATGATAATATGCAAATGTAACTGACACAATAATGAATGTACAGATAATGCTTTAATTTCAAAACCAGTAACAAGCTTTTATGGAAATTTTTATTGTTGTCATCACTAGTTTTTCTACATAAGGGGTTTCACTTTTTTTCTTTCAGTGGAGGTGCCAAGAAAAATACCCATTAGGTAATTCAGGGCAAAAGAAACAATCACAGCTCATCGAGAAAATTAAGAAATATTATATTTTTGGAGAGCACCATATTTAATATGAGAGTAAATATGTAAGGTACAAACCTTTAGAAGAACAATGATAAACTCTGGACAAAATACATAACACAAAATAAAAATTAAGAAAAACTGCCTGAAGTCTACATAGAGTGAACAAAGGCACACAATCTTAAAAAAGAGCTGAAACTTTCAGGAAATCAGAGGAGAAATTACTAAATTAGGAGGCTTTGGATCAAGGAAGTGGTGCTAGGCAGAGTGATGTTTGGTGGCAGAAGCTCCAATCAACAACCCACCATTATTCTGGCTCAAATGACAGAGCAAGGTCTGCCCACTGCAGCAGAAATCTAATATGACAATCCAGAAACAGGGAGCCCTGGTGTTCCTGTTTAAACTTTTCCGAGCCACTGGCTAAACCTCATATTCATAGGCTGCCACCAAGCTAAGGCTCAAATAATTAAACTGAGGCTTGAATTGTCATCTACCCGAAGTTTGATTCTAATTCATAATTTATCAATTTAATTTTTTACTTAACAAAAACATTTCTGCTATCTAGGAGAACTTAACAAAACTGAGAGGCTATAAAAGTTAACATCACAATGTTCAGGATACAAACCAAAAAAATAAAATAAAATAAAATGACACATGCAGATCCTGGAAAAAGTTAGCATAGATCATCATCCAGAGGTTGGGAGTTTTAGGCAAGGACTTGAAAGCAGCTATTATATCTATGTACAATGATATAAAAAACATATTGGAATAAATGAAATTGTAAGAAATGTAACAGATGTATTTGTGCATTTTCATACTCCTCTAAATACATACCTGAGGCTGGGTAATTTATAAAGAAAAGAGGTTTAATTGATTCACAGTTCCACATGATTGGGATGCCTCAGGGTATTTACAATCATGGTAGAAAAGGGAAGCAGGCATGTCTTACATGGTGGCAGGCAAGAGAGAGCAAGTACAAGAGACAGCAGGGAAAACTGTCTTATAAAACCACCAGAGCTCATCAGAACTCGCTCACTATCACGAGAACAGCATGGAAGAAACTGCCTCCGTGATCCATTAACCTCCCACCAGGTCTCTCCCTCAACACCTGGGCATTACATTTCAAGATGGGACTTGGGTGGGGATACAAAGCCTAACCATATCAGTAGGTAAATAGAAAAAAAAAAATTTTTTTGAGACAGAGTCTCACTCTGTCTCCCAGGCTGGAGTGCAATGGTGCGATCTTGGCTTGCTGCAACCTCTGCCTCTCGGGTTCAAGTAATTCTCCTGCCTCAGTCTCCTGAGTAGCTGGGATTACAGGTGCCCACCACCGTGCCTGGATAATTTTTGTATTTTTAGTAGAGACAGGGTTTCACCATGTTGGCCAGGCTGGTTTCGAACTCCAGACCTCAGGCAGGTGATCCGCACGCCTCGGCCTCCCAAAGTGCTGGGATTACAGGCATGAGCCACCACTCCCACCTAGAAAATATTTTTTAAAAGAGGCAAATAGAGAATTTGTGATTGTAAAATATAACTGAAGTAATAAAAATCTCACCAGAGGATTTCTAGTTTTAGCTCCAACATCTGAAGGGCTTGTAAGTTGTTCTCGTTTCACAAAAAGTAAAGGCAGGACAATTTAAAATTCACTGGTTTTTCTTCAATCCATTAGAGAACTGAAGTCATGAGACCTATTGCTACCCTTAAATCCGGGAGAAAGTCATACCCAGAGAGTTACATGAGGCAGTATCTGCTTACCTGAGCCACCACTCCCACCTAGAAAACATTTTTTTAAAAGAGGCAAATAGAGAATTTGTGATTGTAAAATATAACATAAGTAATAAAAACCTCACCAGAGGATTTCTAGTATTAGCTCTAATATCTGAAGGGCTTGTAAGTTGTTCTCATTTCACAAAAAGCAAAGGCAGGACAAATTAAAATTCACTGGTTTTTCTTCAATCCATTAGAGAAGTAAAGTCATGAGACCTATTGCTACCTATTGCTGTTGTAAATCTGGGGAGAAAGTCATACCCAGAGAGTTACATCAGGCAGTATCTGTTTATCTGAAACACAGGCCACTGGAGCTATACAGTGGTATAAACACTGAACCGATAATCTTGATAATACATTGAAAAAAATGATACAATTCAGGAGACTAGGTGTGGGCTATTGTGAGAGTGAGGCACTCCTGGGGGCTGCTTCTGAGAAGAGACCCACTCTTTCATCGGCATTCTTTTAAGAATTCCATCAGATTTTTTTTCCCCTATCTGTACTGAGGTATAATTGACAAATAAAATTGTATAACTTTAAAGTGTACAGTGTGATGATTTGATATGTCTGTGATATAAAATAATTATTTCATGTTTTCAACTTTTGCTTTTATTATTTAGATTTAAATATGGAATTCATTTGAAATATATCCTAATAGACTATGTAGAAATGAATAAATATTACTTTAAAATTTTGATTTCCAGGAACTTAACTTATGATCCCACTGCCATTTATTGATTAATCTATGTTTCTTCACCCATGAGATAAGAGTCAGCAGCATATCAAGTACAAGAAGTTCTCATGTCTGTAAGTCTATTTCTGAGTTATACATTTTTGCCAGTAAATCTCTTAATACTTTCCCTCTAACCACACTGTTATATTTAAGACTTTGTGGTATTACTATGATATAATTTAATATGTGGTAGGGTAAGCCTATTTTTATTTCTTTTTAAAATGTATTACTGGCTATATTGTTTGGTAAATTTTTTATACAAATAGTAAAACATTCAGCTAATTTTTACGTTTTTTTCCTTCAGAAAAGTTTTAAGGTTATCTTTATTTACACATTTATCAAGTATTTTTTGGTTTGTTTCCTTTATTATTGTTGTTATTGTGATAACTTGGTGTTTTTGTGTCTATGAATTGCATTAAATGCCAGATGTTTTGTTGAATCTCACTAATTACTGAACCTCCTGTTGTGTGAAGCAGTATCCATTTATTTTATTTTACAGAAATACCATATGTAGATGAGAATTATTATTTGTTAATTTTAACTTGTGTCTATATTTCCTTTTTTATTAAAAATTCTGTAATATTAACTAATGGTAGAGAGGAAAAACTGCTCTTCCTCTTTAAAATTTCTGAGGCTATTTCAATTTGGGTCTCTATCAAACATGATGATAGCTTTTGGGTGGAAATAGTCACATTTTATCTCTTAGTAGCTTGTATTATCTATTCTTTTAACAAGAGTTTATTTATTTATTTATTTATTTTACAGACAGGGTCTTACTCTGTCACACAGGCTGGAGTGCAGTGGTGTGATCTTAGCTCACTGCAGCTTCAAACTACTAAACTCAAGAGATCTCCCTGCCTCAGCCACTCTACACTAGAGTAGCTGGGACTACAAGCACATGCCACCAAGCCCAGCTGAAAATTTATTTTTGATTAAGAAGTGATATGTTGGCCGGGCGTGGTGGCTCACGCCTGTAATCCCAGCATTTCGAGAGGCTGAGGCGGCCGGATCACCTGAGGTCAGGAGTTTGAGACCAGCCTGGACAACATGGTGAAACCCCATCTGTACTAAAAATACAATAAAATTTGCCAGGCATGGTGGCAGGTGCCTGTAATCCCAGCTACTCAGGAGGCTGAGGCAGGAGAGTCACTTGAACCCGGGAGGCCGAGGTTGCAGTGAGCCGAGATCACGCCATTGTACTCCAGCCTGGGCAACAAAAGCGAAAGTCTGTCTCAAAAAAAAAAAAAAAAGAAAGAAAGAAAGAATGTGTTATATATTAAATGTATGTTTGGTATCTTCACTGGGGACTATATATTTTTCTGCTTTCATCTATTGATTTGTTGAATTATTTAAGAAAATGCCTCTAATATAACCATGTTTGCATTGCCAGGATAATGTTTACTTGTCCCTGAGTGATTATCTATTAAAAATGTTGCATGGTTTTGTTTCTTAAAATTTTTGAATGTTATTAAGTGAATAATATCTAAATTTATTGTCAATATTTTATTCTCATAAAAATAACTCAGATAATTTCCTTATTTCTTTCTGGTCTAAGAAAATGTATTACTCTTGGAATCATCTAGTCTATAAAGACTTAGAGTAATTTTTCTTGTAAATATATCTGTGTATGTTGCATTTTAAGGGGCAAAAAATGTGCTTTCATATAACTGTATGTATTTTGTAAAGTTGCTTTATTAGATATTGTATTGCTTCTGCAGTCTGTTGTAGTAAATTAGATCTTCCTGTTAGGAAAGCTATGTAATCCAGTTAACAAATATTGATTTGAGTGAAAAATGTTCTAACGATTCTTTTAATTTTCACTTTATCTGTAGTTATTTCCTGCAATCTATTCCTGTTTGGGGTCTAGAAACCACCAACTGACTTCATGAGTGCACTTTTACAGTAATAGAAAAACAAGAACCCTTTAGATTGGAATGGTTCCAGGTTCAACAGAGGTTTCCCACATTGGAACTAAGACATTGTTTACAAGATATTTTCACCTCTGTTGTCAACAGTTAAGAGGTAACTCCAGCTTCCATCTGTTGCTATGTACAGAACATTACCAGTTTCACACTACTGAATGCCTCAAATCACAATTAATGAAGTTATGCTCTTGAGACTCACGGTTTTTTCCAGGTGCCACTTGTTGTCTTGTAGTCTAATCTTCACATGTATTTTCTATTCTGTTTCATTCACCTACACCTGCTTCTTATCCACATTCCACTCTGTTCTCTGAAATTTATGGTTCATATTTAACAAAATCCCCTGTATCCCTAGATTTCTCTTTGTTCATAACATAATGGTATCCAGACTGTCTCCGGAGAATACTGATTTTCCTACATGCTCTACTAAAATACTAAATATCTAAACATTTAGATTAGTATTTTCTTCCAGAACTCTCATACTGGTCCTGGAAGTGGTATTAATCTCTTCCTTTTTTTTGGCCATATTCAAACTGTTTCTCCCCTTATTCCCAATGTTAATCAACTTTGAGTATCATGTCATCAAAACATAAGCTAACTTCCCTTATATTGTTAAGTACTTTACTCCAGAGATATTTCCTCTCATTTCTCAATGATTTTATTTTCTGCTTCATTATTGTTCTACAGATCCTTTCAATTCAAAGACATTATAGCCTAGGTAGATTAGAGTTGATATTGTCAATAACAGCAATACTTGAATAAACTCAATTTATTGGAACAAGCTTTCTGATTACCATGTCCTGTCTTTTCAGCTTTTCACTCTCTTTAGTGCTCCCAATTCAATTATTTAGCATCACAAATACTTTCAATGCTCTTGATATCCTCTTTGTCATCATTTTTTTTTTTTGCTTAACTTCTGAGATCCCTTGAGATCAATATAAGCTAGAACTGTAAAACAACAACCAAAAGAAAAGCTCTTGAAATCTGGATATTTCTTTTCCCCAACAAATAATTAAGATGGTAAATAACTGTAGGCTCCAGATGGGAAGAAATGGAGAATATATATACATACATAGACACACACATACACACTCTCATGCACACACACAGACACACACACTTGCAAGGTCATTACTTAGTCTTTCCTCAAGGAATCCCATCCTCCACTGAATTTGGTAGGCATTGAGAGTTGTAAAGAATCTTAAGCTAACAATTTTTTGCATAAGGGTGTCTCTTGTCAGCCTTCAGCTCACCAAAACTTGGTTTACTAATACTCTACTACTCTGTTCTTCTGTTTTTCTTTACCTGGAAACATGGTGATACATTGGTAATTTTCACAGATTCTAGAAGGTTAAGGTACCTTCACCTCCACTCTGGCCTTATTTCCTGTTGTAGTAATTTTGACCATTCATCTGTGTTTGAGGGCCGCCGTCTAATATCTGCCATTCTAGAATCTTGTTATACTTCCTTATACCAGGAAAACAGTTCCATGACAGCACTTCCTGGAGTACATCATTGTCTACCGAGGACAGCAACCTTTAACTGTTCAGGAAAGTAAACGTAACCTTCACCAGAACAATTCTCATCTACTTGATAAAACGATGGTCTTTTGTGCTCTCCAGGGAACATATACAAGTATAGTGGGATCTCTGGTCTTACAATCAATCTGGTCTAACATTCCCATCACAGTTTTATATGTGTCCTCCCTCCTTCTATGATTGTAGGTGATGGTGGTGATGGGAGTGGTGGTAGTTGTTTATACTCCTAAAGCCAATGCCTAATTAGATGTCCAGCTAGGGAATGAGACGGTATTGCTCTCTTACTTTCCCATCTCCTCCTTTGCCTCCATAGTCTTCTCTTTCTGAATACACTGTCATCCCCACAAAGGCAAAAATAAAAGAGAGAAGGGAAAAAAGAGGCCCTGAGATAAATGTCAGTCTTTCAAAAGTACAGAAGGAAGAGATTACTTCAAAAATTGTCTTAAAGATAAGAAAAATCCTGAAACAAATTTAGCATCCTTTAAAGAACTAAAAATTATGTGAATGTGGATGAAAATGTATTAAGGAAAACTTTTTATAAGTGTATTATTTTATCTTTTGTCATTTGCAATAAAAAAAGGATTATTAATTAGCACCATACTTGAGAAATAATACACATGTTTCATATGTATTTGTTGGAATCATTAATACAAAGACATTTTAATATATTTAAGCATATATAAACAAATTTATCAAACATGGACAGAAACACAAAACAAATTTATAAAGCTATTAAATACACTACTAAGGTTTATCTTTAAAAGGTGGGATTAAAAAGATTTTATTATTTACTTTTATTAATTGCCTTTTTAACCGTTATAGTAATTATCTACTACAGTTTCAATTATACAAAAATGTAAAACAAAAACGCACATACATTTAAGACTAACAAATTGGATATATCTATTTTAATAAAATTTTATTCATTTTATGGAATAAAATTATTTCCAATAAAAAATAAGATTCTTTTCATTTTGAAGGAGAAAGTGGGATAGACAGCAAGATCCCATAATACTTAACATTAAAGGACTCTCATGCTTCTGAAGAGAAGAGCAACATCAAAGAAAAAAATGCATTTTTATGCCACTAATCATCATCTATGGTGAAATAACAAAAACTAATTTTCCACAGAGATCATCTTAGTGATAAGCTGTAAGCTACCACCATTCTTGGCTTAGCTACACTGGTATGTTTTAAAATGCAGCATTTGATTTTTATTGGGGAATGTTCCTATTTAAGTTAATTATTAGGCGTATATATAGTCCTCTAAGGTTATTATTTCTCCCAAGGTTGCTGTGTTGCATCATTCATAATTGCCTTTGACCAAATCAATTTGGGGTCTTATTTTTCTCAGATCACAAGGTGTCCAGATGGAGGCAGTCTACAGCCATGGCATACATTCAGAGAAATTTTCCAAACACTAAGCACTTTTGGCCGCATTTTATGTCATTCTAATGGTGTCTTTTATGCTCATGGTAGCCAGATGTCTGCTCCTTTCCGGGAATTCATTTGTTTCAAGCAGGAAGAAGTAGGGAAGAGATACAAATAAAAGACAAAAGGCGCATGCCAGCTGAGCCTGGGTATTTACATATTTTTTCAATAATCCTCATTCGATACCTCAACTGGACAGAAGTGCATTGATCGTGTACATCATTTTTACCTGCATGGGAATCGTTGGAACTTATTATTTAAGTTGATCTGAATGCCAACACACTGAATAATATCAGTGTTCTCTCTGTAAAGAAAGAAAACATGAACAGAGAACACACAGATAGCATTGTCTGCATGGATACAAATAGCATTGTCTGCATGGATATGAAATTGGCACATACTCATATCTGATCCTTTAGTTCAATGCTTGGGGGAATATCAAGGCTGCATAATACGTTGAATACAACTAGAGGGAACCTATGAAGTTTAGTAAGGCAATTCATAATTATTGTATACAATGTTCTTAAAATTGACATGGTAAAACATTGTAAGAATAAACAAGGAAGGGCCTGGTGGCTCACACCTGTAATCCTAGCACTTTGGGAAGCCTAAATGGGAGCACCGTTTGAGGCCACGAGTTAGAGACGAGCCTGGGCAACATAAGGAGACCCCCCCCCACCCCATCTCTATAAATTAAAAAGAAAAATAGCCAGCATAGTGGCACAGGCCCGTTATCCTAGCTATACAGCAGGCCAGGGTGGAAGGATCTCTTGAGCCCACTTCAAGGCTGCGCTGAGCCATAATTGTGCTACTGCAGCCCAGCCTGGGTGACAGAGTTAGATTCTGCTTTGTGTCATGATTAATTCACTGTTTTTTCTTAATAGGCGTAATTAAATCTTCCTTTTCAATTTTCTCACCTGCTCATTCACTAAGCAAGTATTATATTCCATCTACAGAAAATCACAATGAGGTTACATTAATGATAATGATCATTGACATCAATATCATCATTTATGGAACACTTAAATTTGAGCAAGTTTCCATTAAAAAAGTAAAGTGCTATGCCTGAATAAATAATATACATATGTAGTATAATATATATGAATATTTATTCACATAATCACTTATTTCCTAATAATTGCCTTTCATTTATTTTTCTACTTGCAATAATAGTTTATAAGACACTGGTTTCTTTTGAGTATTGGTATTGTATATAATTTTAATTATATTTGCATTTTTACAACACATACTTTAAGATATACACTTCAGACCTTTAGAAAGAAACCAAGCATAAGAATCCTTGAGGCACGAGATATTTATTACCTCTTCTTCACAAAATCACACTGCAAGATGACAAATGGGCCCATGCAAAGAAAACATATATTTGAAATAAACTTTTAATTGAATTAGTTCATGGTTTCAAATAAACCATTTTATTTGAAATATCATCACAATTACCCTAACACTCAGTTCTTAATACATCATCAAACAGTCAAGTGAGAGAGTAAACAGCATGGTACTGAAAGTATTTAATTATTTTCATTTAATGAAACTTCTGTAATGGGACTCTGTGGAATCTATCCCTGTTATCTCTGCCAATTCTTATATTGTTTCAAAATGAATACTATGAGAGAGTGAGAGGATTTGATTTAATTAGGAGGTATTGGTGAGCCTAACAGTGGACATTATGAAAATACCCCTTGACATATGTGATCTGAGAACAAGTTGGCCCTCTCATCTATTATACTGCTTCACTGATGTGGCTGGCTAAGTGCCACTTCTATAGTCTCTACTCCATTTGCTTCTCTCATAAAATGAAGTATTTAATTTGACATCATCACCTCAGCCAGAAGAAAACGTGTTTCCTCAGTTAGAATCTCCCAGCAAAAGTAACATATCTGACCTTAGAGAATATTGTCTGTGACTTCTAGAATATTCCTCAAGTCAAATTTGAAAAAGTATTATCAGAGACCCTCCATTTAGAAAACATATTATTGCTTCCCTTTCATCTTACTCTTCCTTGTGCAATCAGGTGCCAAACAGGAAACATATTTTAAGCCAAATAATAATAAATGCCTCAATTAGTATTCTCAATTAGTATTTTTGTTCTCAAAGCATCATTTTATACTTTTTTTGTTAGCATAATTACAGATCTATTCACTAGGACTCTAAAACAAATAAGAGGAAACATGTCTGTACAACTTGAATGTTACATTTTATAAACTTATTGCTGCTTCCAAAGTCAGTTTTCTTAAGGAATAACATTAGGGTGTTAGAATAAAGCTACATAGTGTTCAAAAGAAATGACAGACATAGAGTTCTCTATTTGTAGTAAACCCTTCTCTCACCCCTACAGACATCCTTAACCTTAGTGCTTCTGATGCTATTAACAGAATCATATGAACAGGAAAATTTTTCAAAGCTCTTTGGTAGAAACTCTGACAGAAGACAGAGATAATTATACTCTCATCAATAATGGGTGTAAGGTCCCTGCCTAATTCTAGTTATTGGAGATCCTTCATCACTCGCAAGGCAAATGGTTTTCCTTTTATCTCTACTGCTAGTCCTCATTCCTCCTTTTACACTGTATGTGAATAAGCAGAATCAACCTTCTCTCTCTAGAAAAATTTCACAAATATTTGAATGTAACCAAATTGTTGATACAGCATTTAAAAATTTCTGTTGGCACTAGGTTATTTGTTTTGTTGTTGTTGTTGTTATTGTTGAATTTTATATATAGGAGTTCTCTATATAGTCTAGATAACAACCCTTTATCAGATATAGACATTCCCCAAAGGAGATATAAAATGTCCAATAAGCACACAAAATGATGTTTGACTTCACTAATCATTAGGAAAATGCAATGCAAATTAAAAAACTACAATGATGTACTATTTTACATCCAGTAGGATGGTTACTATAGAAAAAATCAGAAATTAACAGATAGTGATAAGGAAGTAGAGAAATTGGAACCCTTGTTAGTGAGAATGTAAAATGGCATAGCCACTCTAGGGAACAGTATGGCAGTTCCTCAAAAACTTAAAACTAGAATTACCATATGATCCTACAGTTCCAATTCTGGGCATATAATCAAAAGAATTGAAAGCAGGGCCTCAAAGAGATATTTGTACATCCATGCCCATAGTAGCATTATTCACAATAGTGAAAACATGGAAAATGGTGTTTTCACAATAGTGAAAACAACCCAAGTGTCCATCAATGAATGAATGAGTAAGCAAAATGTGAAATATACACACAATGAAAAATTCTTCAGTCTTTAAAAGAAGAAAATTCTAACATATGCTACAAGCACAACATGGATGAACCTTATGGACATTATGCTAAGCGAAATAAGCCAGTCACAAAAAGACATATAATGTATGTTTCCAGTTATATGAGATACTTAGTGCAATCAAAATAATAAAGACAGAAAGTAGAATGTGGTCGCCAGCTGGTGGGAGGGGGAAATAGAGAGTTATAGTTTAATGGGTACACAGTTTCAATTTTACAAAATAAAAACAGTTATAAGAATGAATGGTGTGATCGTTGCAACTTATGAATATATTTAATAATACTGAACTGTACAATTAAAATAGTTAAGGTGGTAAATTTATATTGTGTATTTTACCAAAATTTAACTATTGAAAAAAAATATGTTTGCAAACTCACAAAAAGTATCTATTCTCATCTTCCTTATGTACTACTCTGTGATTTCAAAATAGGATATTGGAAACAAGTTACCATTAGATCTTCTTTATTTTATTGTTTTTATTGAGACATAGTCTTGCTCTGTCGCCCAGGCTGGAGTGCAGTGGCGCAATCTTGGCTCACTGCAACCTCCGCCTCCCAGGTTCAAGCGATTCTTCTGCCTCAGCCTCCCAAACAGCTGAGATTACAGGCACCCCACCACCACACTCAGCTAATTTTGGTATTCTTAGTAGAGACGGGGTTTCACCATCTTGGCCAGACTGGTCTTGAACCCCTGACCTCGTGATCCACCCACCTCGGCCTCCCAAAGTGCTGGGATTACAGGGTGTGAGCCATTGTGCCCAGTCACCATTCAATTTTCAAGTGAAGGAGCTTATTTATCAGAAATATGGAAATATTTCCTTACTTGAAAACCCATAAAGCTTAATTTTTAAATATTGCAAGAAGACCATCTCAAGGTCTGGAATGTATATGGTTTGGTAGAGTATTATAAAATTGCACTTGGAAACAGTTTATTTTTTCTTCTTAATAACATTATATTCAGTTTTCAAATGTGGGTTATTTGTATTCTAGGTAATTGTAATATATGTGCATCCACCACCTATCAAGAGAAATTACACTTCTATATGAATTCATCCACAAAATGTTACATTGCCTTTAATTTGATGACATGACTGAAACGAATGTGGCATATATATTAGCCCTTGTCACTGATCACAAGTGATGACTGAATTATATTAAGTGCAGACTGTCATAGCACCAATATAATTTTGTACAAGATATTTATTAAACAAAATGAAATTTAGAATTAATTGTTCCAATGTATAGTATTTAAATAGTTACGAGATTAATAATCACTCTGAAGATTGCCTTAAAGAAAAAAAGACAAAATGAAAGATAATGTCTGCATTATATTAATAGAAAAGTATAAACAAGTAATTTCATTTTTCATTTTTGAATATGACTATTTTTTGACCATTACTGGGAAATGTAGCCTTTTTTAGTGGTTAAAAAAGACAAAAGTCCATAAATTACTGGTAGTCAATAGCACAACAATATTGTCCCTTTAGTTATATTGGAGTGAGAAGCAATTATTTAACACAAAGGAAGAGATGGTCATTTTATTAACCAGTTAAAACTGTGAATATGTTATATAATGACTATGGTTACTGAATAATCACATTTTGCACATTTCTAGTAATATCTGTCAATTTGAAAAGTATGCAGTGTTTTCTTAATAACTTTTTTTTGATTCAACCAAC